>NC_000012.12:28611601-28764296 GCF_000001405.40 Homo sapiens
AAGAAGTACTGAGGGTGGGTGGAGAGCTGGGTGTGCCTTGAGATGGGCATTCAAAGGAAAAGGAAGGCTGAAGCTACACTTCTGGCCAACAGCCAGGGGTTTAGTTAGGCTGGAGGGCAGCATGGGAGGGGCCAGAGGAGCTACCTTTGAGTTGAGAAAGCAGGCAGGACCTTTTTATGGCCTAGCTAATGAGTTTGGATCTCTTCCTGAGGGCAATGCTTACTTAAATTTATATAATAACTTTATTATATATTTATAAAATAAAATTGCAGTTACATTCCTATATTCTTAACAATAACCCTGTTCATATTTGAGTTAATTTTAAATTGGCTGCATTTTACCTAGAAGCTGAAAGTCCAGCATTTTCCACCTTTAGCTTAGGTAAGGTGAGGAATTGGAGCTCATGTTGACTTTGACATGCTATCTCTGCAGGCTACTTCACCCAACAGGTTAAAAAATTACACTGAAAGCAGTGCCCCCACGAAACTTCACAGTTGAGATTGGAGTTGGGGGGTGCAGTAGAATAGGTCTATCAGGAAGAAATGCTTCCCTCACTCTTTCCACTGTGAAATTGATCACACAGATAGTTCCTCAGGGCAGTCAGCAGGTTTGGGAAAGGTGAGAGGCAGATCAAACAAGCATAATGAGTCATTTAGACCCAACCTTGGCACAATCTTTTGTCATCCTCATCATTCCCTATGGAAGCCTAAGGCAGGTGGCACAGACTCTGTTGTTTCTCTCCTCTGGGCTTCTTTGTGAGCCATGTCCTACACTCCAGACCTGGAGGTCCACTCGTGTCAGTTACCCTGTGTAGATGAAATAATGCACATTGTACTGGGGATGGGGACATTATGTCTGAAGATCAATTCTGGAATTCCACCCAGGATCATTTTTTCTTGTTGGTGGTTTTCCTGCTTTGTCCCATGAAGTATTCTCTACAATTCAAAGCAAAGAAAATGAAAAGTCTGAGAGTCTGAGTTCCTAGAGATAGGAATACCTCTATAAAACAACCTCTAAATAATTCCAAAATGCTCAACATGTCCCTATTTATGTCAAATAGTCTACGGACAGAAAGCCTATTGCTTATCCTTGGATGGCTCCTAGTGAAGAATGTCAGATAATGCAAGAATTTTTCTTTTTTGCTAATTTTATTATTTCTAAAATTTTAGTTTTTACATAAGAAATATATGGCATCTGGTGAAATTATCTCACCCTATCTGAATTTAACTCCTTCCATCAGAGGACAAATGTAGATTTCCACTGACTTCACCAAAAATGCTGCATTTGTGTCTTAGATCAAACAGTGACCCATGGGATTATATAAATCATAAAATAATTGTTCTAGAAGAAGCTTGTACATAAAACATTCAAATGCTCCAGTGATGAAAGTCCTCCCTAACACAATGTGTGCCCAAGTGGAATAGCAGCACTCCCTCCTCTCCCCTCAAATCTTATGTGTGTTGAATATAATAAGACATTTGAAGGTATAAATCTTATAGCGAGCCAGGAGAGAGATACTTTTGATCATAGGATTGTGAGGCCAGTAAAAAGGCTCAGAGGATGAGCAATGGCATGTGTAGTGCAGGGTTAAACTAAAGCAAATTATATATATACATATATATGTGTATATATGTATACATATACGTGTATATACACATAAATACAAGCATATATATGTGTATATATACTTGTTTGTGTTATGTATATTTGAGTGTGTGATATATATCACATGTGACATATATATTTGATATATATATCTCTCTCACACACACACGTATGTATAGGCTTGAATAGAGATCATACATGGAGGCAGATGTTAAGTCAGGAGGCCAGCAGGTGGGAGAGGGGAAATATTTGAGTAAGCAGTGCTGAGTGTGGCAAAGGAAAGGATTTATGTGAAATGCTCTGAGGTGTAAGTCCTGCCTAATGGATTTCTGTCTATGCTGTGGTACCTAAGGAGAGAGAGACTTGTAACAGGGTTCTAAGCACAGGATCTACATGATCCAGTTAATGGGGGCAGAGGTATTGACAGGGCACTTCATCCTGGAGCTGAAAATGTGGCTTGGAGGCAATATAAAGGACTGAATTCTTTTCCAGAGGTAGTTTCTGGCTTGGAAGATAAAGCAGGTTCAGATTATAAAAGCCAATATATGTATCAAGTTAGATTTAAGGAAAACTGAGTATTCTATCTATTAGTGTATATGCCTCTCCCCACTGCAGTACATTATAACACATATCCAGAATGTTTAGTCCTGGAATATGCTGATGAGCATCTCTGGGGAGGCAAGGATGCAGAGGAGTAGGGAAGAACTGAACTTGGATTCCAAATTTGCACACTAGAGAGAAGAACCAATGTTTATACTCTTAAGCAGAGTATACTAGTTTCTTAGAGATGCCATAACAAAATGCAACAAAATGCATGGCTTTAAACAACAGAAATTAATTATCCTATTGTTCTGGAGGCTCTGGGGGAGTATCTGTTCCATACTGTCTCTCAGCTTCTGGTGGTGGCTGCAATCCTTGGTGTTCCTTGCCTTGCAGATGCATCATCGAAGGAAGAAAGAGGAAAACAATATGAGAAAAAGATAAAAAATGGGTGGAAAGTAAAGAAAGATAAGAACTTCTAAAATACTTTCTTTAAGTCACAGATGTTGGATCAGTTCAATCAAAGCTTAACATTCTAGTTAGATTTATAGAACTGCAAAAACACAGAAATAGATACACATTTAAAACATGGAAGAAAAAAACTTTTATCAATAAAAATTATTGTAAACATTTGAAAGCATGCTATGCCATAATATGAAGTTCAAAGTAGGTTTGAAATTTCTGTTTTGTGAAAGCCTAACAGTTTTACGTATCACAAGGATGATGAAGAATGGGCTCTTGTGATGGCAGTTCACCATTTCCAATTCATTTGTTGGGTTTAGAAAAATATTTCAGAGTCTCCACTTCTCTTAAGAGGAATCTTGTCTTCCATTTTTCTGTACACATTAAGCCTTAAATTGCTCCCACAGGCCCACGTGTGCAATATGTACTACACTGTTGCCCACAAGGGTTTAATATAAATGTGACATCCTGCTGTGTAAGAAGAATTGTGCTGTGATTTTATAACTAACATTTTCAGAGGGAGCCATTATTTAAAAGACATAAGAATTCAAGAACCATTTGGCTGATGAGATTTGAGCCAATTGGGATCAACTACCCTGTCATCATTCATGCAACAGAACATAAATTTGAATCAGATGAAAGGAAATTTGCAGGTCAAATGCAATGGGTTCTTCCAAACTGTCACAGTGAAAGACAATGCCTTGCTTGAGTAGAGAGGAAGAAATAAGTATCCTTTTTAAAACATTAAATATCAGAGTGAAACCAAAGCAATTGAACGATAGCAATTGCCTCAGTCTAATGACCTCATTTCTGTCATGCAACCTGGAGAAACAAGATGTCAAAAATAATCCGTTAAAAAGTAGAGCAAGATACATACAAGACCTATATGAAGAAAACTATAAATCTTTATCAAGAACATAAAATAAGACAAATAAATAGGGCATGTACCATGCTCTTGGATGTAATTATTCAATATTGTAAAGAACTCAAATTACTCCAAAGTACTATATAAATGTTACATAATTTCAAAGCTCCAATGAAATATTTTATGAAGCTTAATTAATAGTTTCTCAAATTTATCTAAACTTGCAAGAATAACTAATAGGAAAATAGTTTAAATAGAAAAATTGTAGGGGTCTCGATCAATTAAACTAAGGGTTACTGGTGTCGGAATAGAGACAGTGATCATTGAAATAGAACAAAGTTTAGTAATCAACTTTTTACACGTAATAAATATGACTATGATAAAGGTACATTTTGAATGAAGAGGGGAAATAATTTCATGGGGAAAATTGGTATCTCATTTGAAAACTACGTTAAGATATTTTATGGAGCTCACATAATTCATTAAAAAATTTAATTCCATGCAAATGGAAACAAAAAAAGAATGAGGAAAAGCTGTAGTTATATCAAATAAAACAGATTCAAGACAAAAACTATAAGAAGAGACAAAGAAGCTCATTATATAATGCTCAATAGGTCAATTCAGTGAAAGGATGTAACAACTGTAAATATGTATTACACTGCACTGGAGCACTGAGACATATAATGCAAATATTATTAGAGTTGAAGAGAGAGTTAGAACCCAATGCAATAATAGCTGGAGACTTCAGCACCCCACTTTCAGCATTGGACAGATCATCCAGACAGAAAATCAACAAAGAAACATTGGATTTTATCTGCACTGTAGACCAGATGGACCTAATAGATATTTACAGACCATTTCATTCAGTGTCTGCAGAATACATATTCTTCCCCTCAGCAAATGGATCATTCTCAAGGACAGACCAGATGTGAGGCCACAAAATAAATCTTAAAATATATATTGAAATAATATCAAGTATCTTCTCTGACCACAATGAAATAAAACTAGAAATAAATAAGAAGAGAAACTTTGGAAACCATAAAAACACATGCAAATTAAACAATATGGTCTTGAATAACCAGTGGGTCAATGAAGAAATTAAGAAGGAAATCACAAAGTTTCTTGAAACAAATGGTAATGAAAACACAACATACCAAAACCTATGGAATGCAGCAAAAGCAGTACTAAGAGGGAATTTTATAGCTATAAATGCCTATATCAAAAAACTAGAAAAAACTTTATATAAATAACCTAACAATGCATCTTAAAGAACTAGGAAAGCAAGAGCAAACTAAACCCAAAATTAGCAGAAAAAAAGGAATAATAAAGATCAGAGCAGAAATAAATTAAATTGAAATAAAAAGTACAAAGGATTAAAGAAACAAAAAGTTGGTTTTTTGAAAAGATAAACAAAATCAAAAAACTTTTAGCCAGACTAAGAAAAAGAGAAGACTCAAATAAATGAAATCAGAGATGAGAAAGGAGACATTACATGTGATACCACAGACATTAAAAAAATCATTAAAGACTACTATGAGCAACTATATGTACATAAATTGGAAAACCTAGAAAAAATGGTTAACTTCCTAGACACATATAACCTACCAAGATTGAATCAGGAACAAATCCAAAATCTCAATAAACCAATACTAAGTAATGAGACTGAAGTCAGAATAAAAAGTCTCCCAGCAAAGAAAAGCCTGTGACACGATGGCTCCACTGCTGAATTTTACCAAATATTTGAAGAAGTAATATCAATCCTACTCAAACTATTCTGAAAAATAAAGGAAGACGGAGTATTTCCAAACTCACTGTATGAAGCCAGTATTACCCTGATAGCAAAAGACACAGAGAAAGACACATCAAAAAAAAGAAAACTATAGACCAATAACCCTGATGAACATTAATGCAAAAATCCTAAACAAAATACTAGCAAGCAGAATTCAGCAACACACTAAAAAGATCATTTATTATGACCAAGTGGGGTTTATTCTAGGGATGCAAGGATGGTTCAATATATGCAAATTAATCAATGTGAGATATCAACAGAATGGAGGACAAAAGACATATGATCATTTCAGTTGATGCTGAAAAAGCGTTTGATAAAATTCAATATTACTTCATGATAAAAGCCTTCAGAAAATTGGGTATAGAAGTAACATATCTCAACACAGTAAAAGCCATGTATGGCAGACCCACAGCTAGTATCATAATGAATGGGGGAAAAAATGAAAGCCTTTTCTCTAAGATATGTAACAAGATAAGAATGCCCACTTTCACCACTGTTATTCAACATAGTACTGGAAGTCCTAGCTAGAGCAATCAGATAAGAGAAAGAAATAAAAGGCATCCAAACTGGAAAAGAAGAAGTCAAATTATCCTTGTTTGCAGATGATATAATTCATTTGGAAAAACCTAAAGACTCCACAAGAAAATTGTTAGAACTGATAAATTCAGTAAAGTTTCAGAATACAAAATCAACATATCAAAATCAGTAGCATTTTTATATGCCAATAGTAAGCAATCTGAAAAAGAAATCAAGAAATTAATTCTATTTACAATAGCTACAAATAAAATGAGATACTTAGGAATAAATGTAACCACAAAGTGAAAGTTCTCTACAATGAAACCTACAAAATTTTAATACAAGAAATTGAAGTATACATAAAAAATGAGAAGACATTTCATGTTCATGGATTAGTAGAACCAGTATTGTTAAAATGTCCATACAACACAAATTAATCTACAGATTCAATGCAGTCTCTATTAAAACACCAATAATATTCTTGATAAGAAAAGAAAAAATAATCCTAAAACTTACATGGAACCACAAAAGACCCAGAATACCCAAAGCCATCCTGAGAAAAAAGAACAAAACAGAAAGAATCACAATACCTGACTTCAAATTATACTACAGAGCTATAGTGACCAAAACACCATGGTACTGGCATAAAACAGAGAGATAGACCAATAGAACAAAATAGGGAATCTAGAAATAAATCCATACATTTACATTGAATCATTTCCAACAAGCGTTTCAAGAACATACAACAGGGAAAGAACAGCCTTCAATAAATGATATTGGGAAAACTGGATATCCATATGCAGAAGAAAAAAGTAGACCATTACCTCCTCCATACACAAAAGTCAAATCAAAATGCAAAAAAGACTTAAATTTAAGACCTCAAACTGTGAAACTATTAAAAGAAAGAATTGAGGATACTCTCCAGGACATTGGACTTCTTGAGTAATACCCCACAAGCACAGATAACTAAAGATTTCTTGAGTAATACTCCACAAGCACAGATAACTAAAGCAAAAATGGACAAATGGGATCATATCAAACTAAAAGCTTCTATACAGCAAAGGAAACAATCAACAAAGGGAAGAGTCAACCCACGGAATGGGAGAAAATATTTGCAAACTATTCATCTGACAAGGGTTTAGTAACCAGAATATTTAAGGAGCTCAAATAACTCAATAGGGAAAAAAATCTAATAATCTGATTTAAAAATGGACAAAATATCTAAAAAACATTTCTTAAAAGGAAGACATACAAATGGCAAACAGGTATATGAAAAACTGCCCAACATCAGTGATCTTCAGACAAATGAAAATCAAGACTACAATGAGATATCATCTTATCCCAGTAAAAATGACTTTTACCCAAAAGCATTTTAACAAATGCTGGCAAGGATGTGGAGAAAAGAGAATACTTGTACACTATTGGTGGGAATGTAAATTAGTACACGCACTATGGAGAACAGTTTGGAGGTTCCTCAAAACACTAGCTAGAACTGTCACAGGATTCAGCAATTCCATCACTGAATATTTATCCACAGGAAATGATATCCGTGTGTCAAAGAGATATCTGCACTCCCATGTTTATTGTAGCACTATTCACAATAGCCAAGATTTGGAAGCAAGCTAAGTGTCCATCAACAGACAAGTGGATAAAGGAAATGTGGCACATATATACAATGGAGTGCAATTCATCCATAAAAAGAATGAGAGCCTGTCATTTGCAACAACATGGATGGAACCGGAGGTGATTATATTAAGTGAAATAAGCAAGGCACAGAAAGGCAAACTTCCTAATTTCTCACTCATTTGTGGGATCTGAAAATTAAGACAATTGTACTCATGGAGATAGGGAGTAGAAGGATGTTTACCAGAGGCTGGGAAGGGTATTGGGAGTGGAGACGGTTAATAAGTAAAAAAATATAGTTAGTTAGAATGAATAAGATCTAGTATTTGATAGCATAACAGTGACTATAGTCAACAATAGTTTATGTTTAAAAATAACTGAAAGAGTATAATTGGAATGTGTAGAACATATGATTGAGGTTAAGGATACCCCACTTACCCTGATGTGATTACTATTCATCGTATGCTTGTATCATAATATCTCATGTACCCCATAAATATATACATGTACTATGTAACCATACAAATTAAAAATTAAAAATTAAATTTAAAAAATCAGATGAATTAAAGTATAAACTGTAAAAAATGAAATTGTGGAAGTATTAACAGAAACTGGAAGATAATTTTCTAAATCATATGGGAAAAAGGCTTTTCTCTCCAATACAAAACTCAGAAGTTATATGAGAAAATGATAGATTTGATTACATAATTTTTAACGAGTTTTCTACTCAATAGGCATATAGATGCCAGAATTAGTGGAGGAAATATCTGTATCACATAAAGATTAATTTCGTACTACAGTAAGAGCTCTGAAAAATCAAGAAGAAAGGACAAACAACCCAACAGGAAAAATACAAAGTTAGAATCAGCCCATCATAGCAAAATTACTAACCTCCAAAGGGGACAATCAAATAGTCAACAATCATATGAAAATAAATGCCCTATCTCACTACCAATCAAAAAAGTTTAAACACAATGAAATATTCTGCTTATTGGATCAGTGAAAGTAAAAATAATAATACTTTCTATCATAAGTGTGATGGCCAGGATACAGTTACTCTCCTTCTGAGAGAATTTTCAAAATCTTTGGAAGCAATTTTGTAATATCTGGTAGAATATGAAACATGTGTATCCTTTGATCTGCAATTTTATTTCTATTTTTATTCTAAAATTATTCAAGTATGCACAAAGATATGAGGATTCTTATTTCAGGATTATTTATTATATAAAAATTCAAGCTAAATAAAATGGTAGTGAACATGGGGTTGGTTAAACAAATGAAGGTATAGAGGGCAAGATGGATTAGTTTCTGCAGCTGTAAGAAAATAATCTTAAATTCTCAGATGGTTAAATAAACAAAGATTTATTTTTCGTTCATGGTACATATTCATTGTGACTGAGATAGGTGCTGTGATCTGTGTCATGCTCACTCTGGGACCCAGGCTGATTTAGTTACCACTATCTGGAACATTGCCAATTACTAGGACAGAGAGAAAGAAAGTGCTGAATTGAAAACACAGTGTCTTTAAAGCTCCACCTTAGAAGAAACGTGTCACTTACGGTCACATTTCATTTCATTAAGTGGGCACACCTAACTTCATGGGGCAGAGGAATTTTGTCCTGATGTAGAGTTGAAATAATTAGTATATAACACTAATGACTATGATTACAAATACCACACAATTGTTTAACAAGAATAAATTGGATCCATATGTATATGTATGAAATGCTATACAAAATAAATTAAGTGAAAAAATTAAAATGAAGACAAATTGTGAACTCTGTAGATAATGCTAACCTTCATTGAATTGCACATTTAAAATGGGTGAATTTTATGATATGTAAACCATGTATTAATAAGACTATTTTTAAAAAAGTACAGAACATGTAGGTATTATTTAGTATTGCATTTGGCTTGATGTAGCAGAAACTCAATTATAGTGGCTTAATCAAAAGAGATTTTTGCTTCTAAGGGCTCCAGAAATGCAGGGGATTCAATCCCAACGGAGCTATCTTTGACCAGTTTGGGACATGAGCTGATAAATGCTTTCCCATTTCTTTCCCTGGGCAATCCATCCAGATAATGTGTTTTGTAAAGCTCCTTCAGAGAATCCTGCAAGACTGAACTCAGTTTTCCCATAGTGGTAGCCAACCTTTTCTCCTTCCCTGACCTACTTTACTCCTGCCTTCTGCTGTTGCTTCCTAGAATCACATCCCAAATTAAGTGTCTGATCACAAGCTTTTGTTTTTGGTTCTGCTTTTAAAAGAACCCAGTCTGATGCAAACCATAAAGATAGGAAAGCTATTTCAAGAAGGGCTTTACAAAATGACAGTACTTATGTTGGTCATTTACAATTCAGAAATATAGTTTTATTTATTCATGTATTATAAATTTGATACATAAGAATTTATCCCCTGTGAGACCACCAGTGATTCTCTAGCACCTAACACAATATCTAGTACAAAGTAAGTACAAAGGCCCGCTAGACCACCTACACTACCACCATATACATGTACGAAATCTCAAGCAATGCTTTTTTACATTAATACTCATTGCTGAGGTTTCCATCTTAAAATATTGATTCTCATACTTTGATTTAAATTCACCAAGTAAATTAAAATAAACTAAAAACACACATTTAGAACGACTCTTTAGAACATATTTGTAATTGGCCTACAGGACCACCTAGGACATAATGAGACCACCAATGGCCCTGAGATTCTAATTTGAGAACCATTCATCTGAACCGCAGCAAATGCACATTCTGGCAGAGAATGAAGTGAAATAAACATGCCTCATATTTGTTAATTTAGCTTTTGTCTTCTTTTTAAAAACAGACTTTTTTTTCTTATCCTTCTTGGTTGAATTGCAGAAAGGCAGCCTTAACATCATCACCTTCTCTAGTTCTGGAAAAACAGAAACATAAAAAGAGAAAGGCTAACAGTAGCCTTAAGATCCAACTCTATGGCTTATTGATTGGCCTGATATTAGTGAATTAAACATTCTGGAGAGCTGCCTGAGTCAACTTGCTATGTGCTTCTGAAGGTAATGAATTTATCTCCAGTAGGTGTGTTAACTGCAGTTCATGTATATTTGCTCATTTAGGTGTACCGAAAAACTTAAAATGAGGTGTGGCTGACTTTTCTAGGTGCTGGTCTAAGATCTATTCTATCATTCCTTTTGATATTTTGCCCAGCTGAAAGTCTAGAGTACCCTATTTCTCAAGACTATTATCTGCTGCCAACATCTAATATTCAGGTAATTTTATGAACTACCCAATACCCTATCAATAAATACTTTTCCTACTTAAATCAGTCAGAGCCAGCTAAGATCCTAACCATTTGTAAGACTGATTTCCTTGAGTATTGTTATAAATATTTTACAACACAAAGTGAAAATAATATAAACTACTTAAAAGCAAAACATCCGTAGGTACTTTAAAGTAGTGTCATATTTTTTTTCCTCTGGGTAGGAATATATCCATTTGTACATTTCCATTATATGCTTCTAAAGGTTTTTGCTATTTTAATACCATGATACTATGATTTGGAAAAACCCGTAGTCTTCATGTGAGTGATGAGTCATTAAGAGAATCTGGAAGCTGATTAGTCCTGAGCCTCAAGGAATGTCTCACTAACTCCTCTATGAATAAAGAGCAGATGCTATACATTAGAGAGAAAATAGAAATGAATAGTGTCACCCTGAAAGGAAGCAAGCCTTTGCAAAGGGGCTTGTTCTGGCTTTTAAAGGCAAGTTCAGGTAAAGCTAAGAATTTAGAGCGTAAGCTAGTACTCCACAACTGGGGAACTTGGGCCTGGATTCTGACTTTGAAAAACTGATGGTATAATCAGAAATTCAAAAAATAATAGATGCTGGTGCGGTTGGGGTGAAAAGGGAACACTTCTACACTATTGGTGGGAATGTAAACTAGTAAAACCACTATGGAAAACAGTGTGAAGATTCCTTAAACAACTAAAATTAGAACTACCATTTGATCCAGCAATCTCACTACTGGGTATCTACCCAGAGAAAAAGAAGTTATTATACTAAAAAGATACTTGCACATACATGTTTATAGCAGCACAATTTGCAATTACAAAAATGTGGAACCAGCCCAAATGCTGATCAATCAATGAGTGGATAAAGAAACTGTGGTATATGCATACAATGGAATACTACTCAGCCATAAAAAGGAATTAATTAATGGCATTCACAGCAACCTGGATGGGATTGGAGACTATTCTAAGTGAAGTAACTCTGGAATGGAAAACCAACCATCGAATGCTGTCACTCACAAGTGGGAGATAAGGTCTGAGAATGCAAAGGCATAAGAATGACACAATGGATTTTGGGGAGTCAGGGGGAAAGGGTGGGAGGGAGGTGAGGGATAAAATACTACAAATTAGGTTCAGTCTATACTGCTCAGGAGATGTATGGACCAAAATTTCACAAATCACCTCTAAAGACTTAGTCATGTAACCAAATACCACCTGTTGTTCCCCCCAAAGCCTATGGAAATAAAAAATTAAAAAAAAAAAACTAAATTAAATTGAATAACTGGTGGTAAAACAAGCTTCACAAGCCAGTGTATGTGAGGAAAACAGAACAGGCCAGGTATGAGAATAGAATTTCCAGGTGTCCAGGACTATGGACTTCTTGGAAAGAGATAAAAGAAGCACAGGTGAAAGGACCTAAAGCCCAGGAAAAGACTTATGGGAATCAGGTAAGTAAGTATCTTCCTCACTTGGGAAATAGGAAGGTCCTAAAGAATCCAGAGCAATTATCTGGGGCAAAGGAATGGACGTAGGAACTCTCAACTAAGGATGAAATCAGGAGTACTGGATTGGATGGTGTCCTTCTAAAATTCATGTTTTTCCTAGAACCTCAGAATGTGACTGTATTCATAAATTGTCATTGTAGATGTAATTAGTGAAGATGAGGTCATAGTGGAATAGGGTGTGCCCTTAATTCACTATGACTGGTGTCCTTAAAAGAAGAAACACAGAAAGATGGACACACAGGGAGAATGCCATGTGATGATGGAGGTGGAGGTTGGAACGATGCACATACAAGCCAAGGAATCCAACAATTGCCAGCAACACCAAAGCTGAGAGACAGACCCAGAGCAGATCTTTTCCCAGTACTTTTGGAGAGGGCAAGGACCTGCCAACACCTTGATTTCAGACTTGTTCACTCCAAAGCTATGAGAGAATAGATTTCTGTTGTTTGAGGTCACCTGGGTTGTGGTAATTAGCTACTGCAGCTCTAGGAAACTAATACACCAAGAAAAAGGTGATAGGGACAAGTGTGACTCTTGCTAGACTGAAAGCTCATTTTAAAGTCACCTTGTGTGTTATTGTGAATTGTGTACTTATAATCCACCTTAGAAAAAGTTGAACTTGAGAAAATATATGGGTGCTAGAAACCCTACAAATTCATGGTAGAAAACCCACTCTTTGCTTAGATTTAAGTAAAAATAGTTCAGATATTTGTGCTTCATAAATTATGCTATTGGGGAGAGTGTGTGTGTATCTTGCAAACTCTCCTGTTTGCTATGAATTATGGTAAGAGTGAAAGGGATTTCTCTCTCCTTTGCTCAGATGGGGAGAAGTCCACACACCCCAGGAGTCTAACGGCAATGACACTAGTGGAAAGACCCTGCTCTCTGACTTAGAAATAAACCTGTGAGACCTCTTGAAAGTAATAAATGGCTACTTGAGAAGAATCTATGGCTTCTTGAGAAGATGCATTTGACCTCAATCCTTTCACTCTTCCAACACAGTGTATAGCATATAATGAGCACCCAACACTAACTTGTGGGAGGAAGGAGACAGCAGTTTCAGGGCAGGTAAAACAGGTAAATTGACAAAGGTAACAGGTAAATTGACAATTGGAGACTTTACTTTTCTCCCTCCTGGAATCTCCCCTCCTAGAGTAGAGACAAAGTCTATTTTAAAAGAGCTTGGCCCGGCGCGGTGGCTCACACCTGTAATCCCAGCACTTTGGGAAGCTGAGGTGGGTGGATCACTTGGGGCCAGGAGTAAAAGACCTCTTCTTGATTTCATTTGCTCAAGATAATCTTTTAGGCAAGGAAGACCAGTTTTCTTCTATCTGTATTTCTTCCTCCTGCTGTTTGGGAACTCTTCTAGTCTAAGTTTTCATCAGCTACTTGAGAAAACTGTTCCCTTTTTTGTGCCAACCTCGAGTTTGTTATATTAAATATCTTTGAAATATACACATACTATATGTATTTTAATATTTATGGTGTCTTTATATTCTTATTCATAACTTTTGTATTTCATATCTATGAAAAGGCCAGCAGGCATTTTATATCCAAGTATCTAGTAACAGTAGTAGTAGTAGTAGTAGCAGTAATGATAATGGTGATGATTTTTAATGTTGTTAGCTATCATTTATTCAATACTTATGTTCCAGGCACTACCAGGCACTTTACATGGGTTATTTCTCTTAATCCTTACATTGACTTTATAGTGTACCCATTATTTTTATTCTCTTTTTAAAAATGATGAAACTGAGACCTAAAAAGTTTAAGTAATTTTTCCATGGTCACAAGCTAGCAAGTGTTGAACTAAAGCTTCTTACTCCATGATATGGTTTTGCTGTGTCCCCAGTGAAATCTCATCTTGAATTGTAGCTCCCATAATCCCCATGTATCATGGGAGGAACCCAGTGAGAGGTAACTGAACCACGAGATCTGATGGTTTTATAAAGGGTAGTTCCCTTGCACACACTTTCTTGCCTGCCGCCACCTAAGATGTGATTTTGTTCCTCCTTTGCCTTCTGACATGATTGTGAGGCCTCCCCAGCCATGTGGAACTGTGAGTCCATTACACCTCTTTTTCTTTATGAAGTATCCAGTCTTGGGATACTTATTCATAGCAGTATGAAAATGAACTAATACACTCCGGAACATGTGCTTTCAACTGCCACTCATTCCATTAGTCAAGAAACATTCATGGAGCACTTGTATACCAGATATAACTATTCGAGTGCCTACTCTGTCTACATCTGTCTCATAGAAATGCCCCATTTTCTGCCCCTGCCAAAGAGGCAACTCCCTGAAGCTGTGTTAATGACCGCATGACCCTGCCCACTAATTGTGGATGTCTGTACCAGGATTCAGCACCTAATCCGGGACATAATCAATCTACAGCCTGGATAGTAATGTAGGATCTATATATGATTTCTGTTCTTGAAATTTCATGAAATATTGTTTTCCCTTTTTGCTTAATCTGAAACACATTATTTGAGTTAGCTCAAGTGAATTTATGTCTCAAAAGCCAAGCACCATAACGAAAATACCCTACTATAGTCTAGGAAGGGTTGCAGACATTTGAAGGCACAGATGGTAGTGAGCAGTAGGTGGAGGAGATAATCTCCTTGCCCACATCTCACTGTACTTCTATGTGCTTACAGGTTGCTGGGCAAGAAGGCAGAGACAGATGGCAAACCCATATGGATAAATGAAGTTTCTGAAGAGTCAATAGAACTGTCCGTATTCATGGGTCTTTAGCCAATTTCCTAATTGTAAAGCTCCTCCAACCTCCTTGGGTTGTTCACCCTTTTAGGTGGCTTGGTGTTCTAGGACTGTTGTGTGGGTGAGGAAGGGGTGTAAAGGTTGCATAATCAGATGAAGTCTGAGGGTACTTTAGAGGATTGACTGGCAGTCACTCTTGCTGACCTGGCAGAAAAAGAGGGAATAGAATCAAGTCTTTTTCTCAGGGCAGGGGACCTTCTCCCTCCCTTCAGTGAGGGCGGGCAGATAACTGAACCATAACTCAGGGCTGCAGGGGCACCTGAATACTCTAAGAATGTGTCCCGCACTGACTCTTCACAAAGTCCTTTCTTCTGCAAAGCAGATCTCTTCCTTCTTGGGCCACCTCCTGGAATCAGCAGTTGCACTCACAAGAACCCTGTAGTTACCCCCTCAATTCTTTTCTCTTCCTCTGATATTTTGGGAGAATCCAGCCCCCATGCACTCTGTTTCCTCCTTGTGTGTCCCCCATTATCTTTTGGATCTTTCATAAGAGATTTTGAAGATCCCATAAACCCTGAGTCAAATCTTGGACAAAAGAAAACTGCTTCTCTTTACTTTAGGGCAGGGTGGGCTTATTTGTCAAATACTTTTGGGGCATAGAAGAAACATTTGTATCCCATCATTCCAACATAGCAAAGAAATTGAAGAAAAGCAAAAGAGGTCTTTTTATATTAAAAAAGTTGACTTTTTATATCCTGTCACATGAACTATACTAAGAATAAATGTACCAAAAGAAAGTAGAGAAACGACACCAGATTGACCGCTAAAGAAGGTGACAGTTGAGAAGAAGAATGAGTAGGGTTTAAACAGACAAACAAATGACAAAGAATTTATTTGTAGGTAGAGGAAACTGCATATTCTTATGCAGAGAGGCGTAACAAAGTGGACATGGTTTCCTCACAAGAGCACAGTATAAACTACTTTGGTTGAAAACAAAGAAACCAGAGGATATGATTCCTACTCTTTCCAATGTGTAATTTGATTTGAGAATGCAAAACAGATATGAATTTTTTAAAATCCCAAAATCAAACCAAACAAAACCTTCATTGCGCATACACAATAATAGCTAACATTTACTAGATATCTATGAAGCACTTAAAAATATTGTCCCACATATAAAAACATTCTGTGTCTGGTTTAGTCTCTACAACAACTGAGGTAGATTCGTTTTTATCAGTCTCATTTCACCGAGACTAGAGAGAAGAAATCACTTGTTCATCATTAGAGGGGTGGCAAATGTTGAGGCTGCCTCAAAGCAACAGGTCCACCTGAGCAAGCGAATATGTTAACATAAAGAGAACATTTTGCTTTATTTGATTTTGGAACATGCTTCAAAGAATGCAACCAGATGGAGAACTTCTGGGGCCCATGAGGCTCTGACTGGACACCTAAGCATAACTTTTGCTGAGAAAATGTGTCGACCTGCTGTGTGCCAAGTGAATTTGCACCCTTGGTAGCCAGACCATGAGGAGAAGCCACTGAGTGTGAAGGACACAAGGCCTGGCTTGGGGGCAAAGACCAAACGGTTAGAAACAGAAATGTGTTCCAGTGTTCAGGTTCAGTTCACAATGCAATGAACAAATTGTAATATTAGGTTCTTTTCCTCAATCATCACCAAGGTAGTGGGAACACTTTCTTTAGCTTGGCCTTGTAGAAGGACAGTGAGACCCTCTCTTTAGAGAGAGTAGGGAGTTGATGCTAGCTTTTTCCAGGACACCAGCTTTCTTCAGGACCAAAGCTTTTCTCCAGGACACCAGAAAAATGATGCCCAGGAGACAAGGGTCTCAGGATAAAAATAAAGAATGATTTCCACTTGAGGGCACACTCTTCTTTAGCCAGGAAAGCACCCTTGAAGGCTTATAGACCAGGCAGACACAGAAATGCCTGGGAGCTGAAGAGGCTAAATAGCTACCTTTTGTTTGATTTTTCTGTTCAACATTGTTTTCTCTATTTAGTACTTACACATTATGACATGTCACAACAATAACAATAACAATAGCTACCAGTTAGCATTATGTAAGTAAGGCAGTGTTCCAAGTAGTTTTCACAAATTAACTCAATTAATATTCAAAACAAACTCTTGAGGGAGACTGCCATTATTGTGTCCATTTTACAGATGAGAAAACTGAGGCATAGAGAGGTTCCCATTCTTCACACAACTAGCAAGGAGGCTGAACCAGTGATCCAACCTAGGCATTCTGGCTCTGAAGTGCATGTGAGCAACTCTTCCTCTCTATAAATACTTTTCGTGGGACTCCAGGAGTAAATTCAGCAATCATGAAAACCATTTTGTTTCTTATAATTCATCTTTGACTCAGCCTCCCCATCATAAAATGGGTATAATATTATGGCGATTATTTATGTAATTCATCATGGTTTTTGGAACCGTAGTTGATGTTTAAATAGCACCAGGAGGCCCATTAAATGTGCAAGAAAATGTAGACAAGAAACATTTTCGGCATTGCTTATTGACGATGGCAGGGAAAGTTGAAGTTTCCTTTCAAGTTTTTACTACTCCCAGTGATTCCTTCTTTTGCCTATGGCCCATTTTTCTAGCTCTCCCATGGAGAAGAAAATAACATGGCTGAGTGAAGCCTCCCACCCACATCAAGTCAGCCACTCATAATTAACTTCCTTAATCAAAGGTAACCCTTCTTTTTTGATTAATCATCTTTTTATAGTACACTTAAGAGGAAAAAGAACCAAATGAAAATATTAAGTTGGAGGCAACACAAACTAATTTGATAATATTGCCATTACAACTGAGTAAAGAAATACATGGAGCTCCCCTTGAAATACTTTTCCTGTCAAAATTTATGTCTTTTCTAAAGGGTGTGAGCAAGGGGGTGTTTTTCTTCATACACACTATGTGAATGTAATGAGTAAATGTTAGCTTTGTGTCTTTTTTTGGCCCATTAAGAATTATGCACCATGGCAATCTACAAACAAGAGACTGACCAGGTAGGCAGTGCCAAAATAAGTTTAATGAATCACAGAAAAATGGCAAATTATTTACAAAACATAATTTGGGAGCTGAAGTTGCTATATCACACTTTATGAGAGTACAATCACTCCCTAAGAAATGGCCAGTTCAACCGCATCAGCTGCTATCTCTGATGACTGGGAGCCATGGATTCACCATTTGCAACAAAGCACTCCAATATTTTCCAGGAGCAAAAGCACTTTTCACTGGCCGCTCCAGAGTAGCTCATTGAAGTAGGAGCCAAGCATGTAAATGACCTCCTGAAAGAACTGGCAGCCTTGAAGAACACTGAGCCCCAAAGCGCATGTTGTTTGCTAGGTGTTCCTCCAGCAGAAGCCTGAGGAGGGGAGGCCAGCAAGCAGGGAGGCAGGCAGGCCGGCAGGCAGGCGGAGGTGGGCGGCTGTCTGCGGCAGAGGGTGAAATGTTTATACAGAGCAAGTTAAAAGGTGGACAAGAGACAAATAGCAGTGTGGGGCTGCTCTAAAAGTGAATTTGGGAGGTACCTACTCTAGTCCCAAGAGAAAAAGACGGATGCTAAAGCCAGCATCATTTCAACCTAAAAGCACATCTCCCATGTGGGGTTAAAGTCTTCGCTTCTTCGCAGAGGTAGGCACAGGCTCTCCTGCCCCAGATTCCCCTGGGCACAAGGAGTGCAGAAAGTTTTCCTTGGTAGCTAAGTTGTTTTTATGTGAAACCATTTTGGCCAAGGTGGGGATTTTTCACTTGGGTGTCAGTGGTGCCCTTCTGATGTTTATAAAACGTAGCAAATGTACAATTTGAACAGTTATTTTAGGTAAAAATGTCAATTTCTTCATGGAGTCGGGCACTCTCAGCTCTGTGTTTGAGACAAATTCTTAGATTTTCCAGTGTTGTGAAAACTTTCACCTTGCTTCACATGGTTCTCAAGTTGAATTATGATCCTGACATCCCCCTGCTCTCTGAGGTGCACTGATGGAAGTCAATTAAAAATAACTAGGAGAAGAAAATATTATTTTCTAGCTCATAGGGAGGAGGAGGGGAGATAACACGGATCCTTCCAAGATGGAATTTCAGCTGGCAAATGACCTTATTCACTTCTTTCCTTCCTACACTTCCCCATGTCTAAATGACCCATGAAACTTGGTCGCCTTGCTAGGAATACCACATTGGGACTCACTGCCTCAACACCCTGTTTGTGCCTTAAACCTGAGCTTCAAAGCTCTCTACACCTCAGTCTCTACCTACCAATATGCTTTTACAACCACTAAAATACCTAGATGAATGTGATATACAGAAATCTTTGTCTGAATCATTTCCATTGTTCTTTTTGTTTTGTGACTTTTCATTCTACTCTAAAAGCCTTAAGTGGTCTCCTGATCTAAATTCCTCTTGTTTTTCCTTTCACTTACTTTCAAAGCTGTTTGGAGTCATCCTTATTCAATTGCTTTACTTTCCTGAAACTTGATATATTTCAGCACATAGCTCTGCAACATCCATGCTATCAAGGCTAGAGGTGTCAATTGAATTCAAAAATTACCAAGGGAAACGTTTCATGATATGATACAGAGCTCCTCATGCTTAGAAACTAATTTCTGGCCAGGCGCGGTGGCTTGTACCTGCGATCCCAGCACTTTGGGGGGCCGAGGCAGGCAGATCACCTGAGGTCAGCAGTTTGAGACCAGCCTGGCCAACAAGGCAAAACCCTGTCGCTACTAAAAATACAAAAATTAGCTGGGTGTGGTGGTGGGTGCCTGTAATCCCAGCTACTCGGGAGGCTGAGGCAGGAGAATCGCTTGAACCCGGGAGGCAGAAGTTGCAGCGAGCCGAGATTGTGCCACTGAACTCCAGCCTGGGGGACAGAGACTCCATCTCAAAAACAAAAACAAAAACAAACAAACAAACAAAAAAACAAAACAAAAAAAGAAAGAAAGAAACTAATTTCTTGTGTATTCCTAATCTTAAATTTATGTCTTTGTGTGGATTAAGTGAATGGCTTTTCATCCCTCTTTCCCACCTCATCTATATATTTTGAGAATGATAAGGGTTTTTCATTAGCCTTCTTTTTTACATGAAACAATTCCTTTATCCTTGAGCTACACAATTTATTTCTTGCTTCAAACTTTATCTCATCTTTTTTAGATAATCCAGGCAGATGTTAAATATATAATTTTACAGTCATATACATTTTTATATTCTCTTGATGTCTTGCCCATCATTTTTCTTTTTCAAAGAGGCTCTTGACAGCCATTACTACCATTGACTGATTACCTTTGCTGCATTTTATAGTTATCAGTTCATTTACTCCTTACAACAGTCTCAGGAGATATACATTAATATCTCCATCTTATGGATTTGGAAACAAATTCAGAAACGTCAAATACTTACCCAAGATCCACGGCTCATATGTAGTGACATGGGATTCACATTCTGATCTGCCCTACTTCGGTCTCTGCTTTTGTATACAGCGAGTCATGACTGATACATTTCTGAACAAGAACTCGTCTACTGCAGATGCAGGCTGAACTGTTACCCTCTGTACTTTCCCCATACACTCAGGCGAGCCCAACTCTAATCTGTCACTGATTGTATAGGTTTCAGTTTGTGATGAGTTACTCTGCTGTATTTTTCCCTTTTCCTCCTAGGATCTTCTGTCTACGATTGTCCACTTCAACAAAAAGATTTCTTATCCTGTTCTCTCAACTAAGCAGAGGTAAAAGAATCAAATACAAGCTATGTTTCAAAGCCATTTTAAGTTCTTACATATTGAAATTCCAAAGTAATATATGAATGTATGCTCTTTTTACAAGTTTCAAATAATATCGAGGTATTAGGAGGAAAACATACAAATCTGTCTTCACCAACTTGGGTATCATTTTCCTCTGCACTTAAATTATTTGTGGAAACAAGTAGGGAATATACACACAAACAACAAATACTCCATTTAAACTTTCCAACCAAAACTAACCACGAAAGAATTTAGGGGGCTCCAGAGCTATTTCATTAACCTATTACACAAAAACCAGGAAATCTTTGACCACTTGCTGGGCTTCGTTAGTTATGTTTTTTGTTTGTTTGATTTTAAAATCTGTTTTTGCTGCTTTTTCTTGGGAGGCCTCAGAGATACATCCTTCTTCTGTCTCATCCCTTGGTTATCTTTCTGATCCTTTCCCACCACAGCTTATCATTGGAGATCAGATCACCAGTGTCTCAGTTGGACGCTGGGGTTGGATGCCTTCCACACAACAGTAGGCAAGCTCATGAGACGACATCCTCCAGATTTCAAACAGAATGAAAATAGGCTGTATTAGAAAATTATCATCTGCCTTCATCTTCACCTTTGCTTTGTACCTTCTTGTTTCTCTTTTTATTTTAAGCCCTCCTCGATAGACGCTGTCCATCATTCACACACTTGCTTGAATTTTATTGGACTGCTCTCATTTCTCTTGTCATGTGACCTTCGCCCCTGCCTTTCTTTACAACCACAGAGTCTAAGTTTTAATATGAGACCCACAGTCAGTGGCATCTACTAGTGATGATTTCCCCAATTGTCTCCTCAAAACACTAGAGTGTTTTTATCTTTGGAGAGAATGAAACCAGTTGTTCACTTTACACTATAAACAGCATTAAGAATTTGTGGCTAAAATCTATATATGCATATAAAATTGACTCTTGAATAAGGCAATGGTTAGGGATACCAACCCCTGTGCAATCAAAAATCATACAAGGATTTTTGACTCCCCCCAAACTTAACTACAAATAACCTGCTGTTGACCTGAAGCCACATTGATAATATAAACAGTTGATTAACACATGTTATATGTATTACATACAGTATTGTTACAACAAACTAAACTAGAGAAAGAAAATATCATTAAGAAAATCATAAGAAAGAGAAAATTAAGTAGAGGAAGATCACCACAGAGGTCCTTGTCCTCATTTTCTTCAAACTGAGTAGGCTGAGGAGGAGGAGGAGTTCATCTTGCTGTCTTGGGGTGGAAGAAGTGGAAGAGATGGAGGAGGTAGAAGGGAAGACAGGAGAGGCACGCATACTTGGTGTAGCTTTTATTGAAAAAGAATCTGCATATAATTAGGCCTGCACAGTTCAAACTCGTGTTTTTAAGGGTCACCTGTGTGTGTGTATATATATATATATGGCTAAATCTGGCCTTGGCTATATAATAACTGCAGTTAGAATACTTCATAGGAGGCCAGGTATGGTGGCTCTCACCTGTAATCCCAGCACTTTGGGAGGCTGAGGCAGGCAGATCACCTGAGGTCAGGAGTTCAAGACCAGCCTGGCCAACAAGACAAAGCCCCATCTCTACTAAAAATACAAAAATTAGCTGGGTGTGGTGGTGGGTGCCTGTAATCCCAGCTACCTGGGAGGCTGAGGCAGTAGAATTGCTTGAACCCAGGAGGCAGAGATTGCAATGAGCCGAGATCACGCCACTGCACTCCAGTCTGGGCGATAGAATGAGACTCCATCTCAAAAAGAAAAAAAAAGAATACTTCATAGGAAACATATTTATTCTTTACCTTCACTGTATCAGTGAGAATAGGCCAGGTTCTGCTGCTGTCCAAGAAAACTAAACCTCAGGGGCTTATAACAACAAAGATTTATTTCTTGCTCATGCTATGTGTCTGTCTACAAAGGACCATTTAGAAACTCTGCTCGACATTGTATAAGGAAATCTTCCTATTATTGACTAGATCTCACAACACTTGCTTCTTACAATGGCTTTATCTAAAAGGTGCAGATTGTATAATGCTGCAGTGATTCTAGTTGGGGATTTTGTATTCAATCCAAAAGGATCTTATTTATTCTAAAATTGTTTCCTAACCTTCTGTCTTTTTAGGTTCCTTAATTCAATGAACTAAAGTAAACTTTTATCAACCCTTTTTAAAGAAAATACAGTTGTAAGAAAAGACCATACACTCTGATTTTGATTTGTCAGTTCTGCTTTAGAATTTTCATTTCTCAGATTAGTCCTTTCCATTTTCCATATTCTTCATCTGTTTCATTAAAATTTGTAAAATATTCTGACATTGTCATACTTTTTGCTTTTCAATCTTTTTTATCTATAAGGGCTTTCTCATGATTTATACTCTCACAAAGAGACATTTTTTGTTTTAGTTTTCTCCATATTCATAGGTTATACTAATTTGGTAAGTTTTGTTCCTGTCTTATGTATCAAAAAATATTTATTATCTTTCAAAACATATATTCTCTTGTGCCATTAAAAAATATTCAGCTTCTTTAAAATCTTTTTGATACTTAGGCTTTCTTTTCATAAATGCTTCCATTTTCTGGTTTTATTGTTCTTGGTTCTTTCTTCATAATCATTATTTTGTCTTGCTTTAAAATACTATTTCTTCCATCTTTATAGCCTATCTTATTTCTCCCTGCCTGTTGAATGTCATGTAACCGCAGTGTCATAGAAAGACAAATAACCAATGACAAATAACCAATGACTTATGCATATCTATCTATCTCTGACATGTTCCAAGATATACACATGTATTTGTCACGCTCAAAGACTCTTTCACTGAGATAAATATTTGGAATGTTATTTAAAATGTTTATAAATATTTCTTAATTGTCTATACTTATAACACTACTTCCCTGTAAAGTACAACTTATTGTTTGGTTGCTTATCAGTTTTATAAAAATAGCATAAATATATTAATATAAAGCTCAACCAATGACAGAACCTCCCTGCCTGGGAGCTTAGAAACTCTGTGTCCTGTTATCAACTTAGTGTTAATAATAAGAAGGTAAATTGTTAATGTAATTAACTGATTAAAGAGTTCTATCATAGTATTAGACTAATAGAGTTTATTTTGCTACTTTGGGATAAGCTATTTTAATATTTAATTTAATAGCCACTTCATAATCTGAATAAAATACTGAGACTGAACAATTGGGTTGTATTATTAGTTAATGGCCAGTCCATTTGCAGGAAGTATGTTTCGATTTCTCCATCAATACATATCCTCCTACTATATCTATATCTATATCTATATCTATAGATAGGTAGATATTATGTTGTGTGTGTGTGTGTGTGTGTGTGAATGCACGTGGGTGTGGGTGCTTTAATTTGGAAGTGCCTGAGAATGACATATGGAGACCAGCTACAGAGCAGTAGCCCTAATGACTGGAAATGATCCTTGGAGATGGTGCCCAGTTTGAGGTCAGTGGATAGGGGGTCAGAGAGGCAGGACTCCCCAGGGTGCTGCTCATCTTTTATCATCTTCATCCATCAAGGCTGCTGTGTCACATATAACATTTTCCATTCGTTTTTGCCCCTGTGTTCTGGTACTGCTCAACAGCAGCAACCTGTTGATTCTGGACTGCTAAGTACTCCTGGCTGGCATAGGAGGCTGCAGGGTGACTTAACTGTGGTAGACAGACAGAATTGTTTCCAATGTACACCTAAGGAGGCCCTCAGCAAAGCAAACATTGATTTTGGAGGGGCATTTTTTTTTTCTCTATTAGCTTGCTGCCAGAAGCCTCTAAATAGGATCCCTATTTTTTTTCCTGTTAATCTTAACCCATTTAGAGGCTGAATGATAAAGTTCAAGCCAGTAAGTCCTGCAAGATGTTATAAGACGCTGTCACCTCCCTAAACAGAATACCTCCTAGTGAGGATTCAGTAGGTGATTGAACATGAACTAAAATCTTGGAGGCATCCTGAGTGCCTGGGTGGCCTCTGGTTTACTGCTGGTTCACTGGGTTCCTCTTGCCTCAATGGGCCAACTCCCAGTATTATAAATCATATAGATGTGAACTTCTTCCTGAAGTAACTTGTTTGCTTTATTTATTTGGAAAATTTCGGTAACTGCTCTCTCAACGGCCAGGCTGTTGAATTTGCCATAACTGAGGCTTACTCAAGAATGTTTAGTCTTAACACTGTGTGGTTTCCTTTAGTGACTCCTGAGCCACATTTTGAAGAGAGACGTGCTGGTACTGAAGTATGGTGAATTCACTTCCAGGTAACCAGGGGCACCTCAGAATACCTTCGGTTTCGAGACAAAGTGGGTGGCAATGGTGAAGTGGAACCTCTCTCTAAACAATCCAGACCCACATAACCATAAACACGCGCACACCCACATACACCTTGACGTTTTGGGGGTTGGATATGCACAAATGAATACAGTTTTAAATGGGAATTTTAGACAGAGTAATTTTTAATATTTTTAATGTAGAGGCAGTCATGTAAATCTCTCTTCTGAAATAAACTTATTCCACTTCCTCTTGGTGTATTACATGTCATAAAAAGTGTATTTGAATAAAAGAAAATAAGTACTTTAAAATGAGTAAAATCCTTCATTGGTAGCATTGATGTGAGTTTACATTTGGGGCTCCCAAGCCAAACTGTCAGAAAAGACCACATTATTCTTTGTAATTTGCCAAACAGCCTTCTGGTGGAGAGCAGAGTAAGATGGAGGGATGGAGGTGGGAGGGAAGAGGGGGCTTTACTCTGTATTAAGAAATGCAGAGGCTACTTCAATAGTGTCTGTCCCTGTGAGTAGAGAAATGAGGAAAGTTTTGCAAACCTCCTTTAAGTCAGTGAAAAATTTTCTCTACTTTTAAAAAACTAAAGCATTGGTGAAACCAAAGAAGGAAAATTTAATCTGTTTTTAACTTCATATGGGACATTTTTTAATACTTCTGGGTTTTTGGGCTTTTCTGTGTGTTAAATCGCACCAGAAACAGAAGAAAGCCAGAACATAATGTTCAAGGAACCTGGTCCTTCACAATCCATGGAGAAGGCGGTTTTTTCCAAGACTGTTGCAAGAACATCCCTTCTGTTCGCTTCTATGGTTAAGGCTAAGAGTGCTGAAAGGATTTCTTCCCTGCTGGCGCCCTTCTCCTCATATCCATCCTCAGGCTCTCCAACAACTACAGGTTTTAAAATTTTGTCATTTATATTATACTCTCAAAACTGAACATCTTTATATATGTGCTTGTATCCCTTCCCTAACTCTTTTAAAATGCACAATGCTGTCCAAAATGCTATACTCTAAAACCAAGAGCAAAATATAGAGAGAATTAGAAATGCCAGCTTTATGATTTACCAAGTATTCCTGGGTTCCTTGTGGCAGATTGTATTACAAATGATATTAATTACTTTGAATGTATATAGGGAGAAATGAGGAGGCAGGGCATGGCAGAGGGAAGGAGGATTTTTTAAAAGAGAGACTGAGAATTGCAATGGAGAGCAGAGGGCAGTCCATTCAAGAATTATGATAAATTCCTCGACACATACACCCTCCCAAGACTAAACCAGGAAGAAGTTGAATCTCTGAATAGACCAATAACAGGCTCTGAAATTGAGGCAATAATTAATAGCTTACCAACCAAAAAAAGTCCAGGACCAGACGGATTCACAGCCGAATTCTACCAGAGGTACAAGGAGGAGCTGATACCATTCCTTCTGAAACTATTCCCATCAATAGAAAAAGAGGGAATCCTCCCTAACTCATTTTATGAGGCCAGCATCATCCTGATACCAAAGCCGGGCAGAGACACAACAAAAAAGGAGAATTTTAGACCAATATCCCTGATGAACATCAATGCAAAAATCCTCAATAAAATACTGGCGAACTGAATCCAGCAGCACATCAAAAAGCTTATCCACCATGATCAAGTTGGCTTCGTCCCTGGGATGCAAGGCTGGTTCAACATATGCAAATCAGTAAATGTAATCTAGCATATAAACAGAACCAAAGACAAAAACCACGTGATTATCTCAATAGAAGCAGAAAAGGCCTTTGACAAAATTCAACAGCCCTTCATGCTAAAAACTCTCAATAAATTAGGTATTGATGGGACGTATCTCAAAATAGTAAGAGCTATTTATGACAAACCCACAGCCAATATCATACTGAATGGGCAAAAACTGGCAGCATTCCCTTTGAAAACTGGCACAAGACAGTTATGCCTTCTCTCACCACTCCTATTCAACATAGTGTTGGAAGTTCTGGCCAGGGCAATCAGGCAGGAGAAAGAAATAAAGGGTATTCAGTTAGGAAAAGAGGAAGTCAAATTGTCCCTGTTTGCAGATGACATGATTGTATATCTAGAAAACCCCATCGTCTCAGCCCAAAATCTCTCTAAGCTGATAAGCAACTTCAGCAAAGTCTCAGGACACAAAATCAATGTGCAAAAATCACAAGCATTCTTATACACCAATAACAGACAAACAGAGAGCCAAATCATGAGTGAACTCCCATTCACAATTGCTTCAAAGAGAATAAAATACCTAGGAATCCAACTTACAAGGGATGTGAAGGACCTCTTCAAGGAGAACTACAAACCACTGCTCAATGAAATAAAAGAGGATACAAACAAATGGGAGAACATTCCATGCTCATGGATAGGAATAATCAATATCATGAAAATGGCCATACTGCCCAAGGTAATTTAGAGATTCAATACCACCCCCATCAAGCTACCAATGACTTTCTTCACAGAACTGGAAAAAACTACTTTAAAGTTCACATGGAACCAAAAAAGAGCCTGCATTGCCAAGTCAATCCTAAGCCAAAAGAAAAAAGCTGGAGGCATCATGCTACCTGACTTCAAACTATACTACAAGGCTACAGTAACCAAAACAGCATGGTACTGGTACCAAAAAAGAGATATAGACCAATGGAACAGAACAGAGCCCTCAGAAATGATACCACACATCTACACCTCTCTGATCTTTGACAAACCTGACAAAAACAAGAAATGGGGAAAGGATTCCCTATTTAATAAATGGTGCTGGGAAAACTGGCTAGCCATATGTAGAAAGCTGAAACTGGATCCCTTCCTTACACCTTATACAAAAATTAATTCAAGATGGATTAAAGACTTAAATGTTAGACCTAAAACCATAGAAACCCTAGAAGAAAATCTAGACAATAGCATTCAGGACATAGGCATGGGCAAGGACTTCATGTCTAAAACACCAAAAGCAATGGCAACAAAAGTCTAAATTGACAAATGGGATCTAATTAAACTAAAGAGCTTCTGCACAGCAAAAGAAATGACCATCAGAGTGAACAGGCAACCTACAGAATGGGAGAAATTTTTTGCAATCTACTCATCTGACAAAGGGCTAATATCCAGAATCTACAAAGAACTCAAACAAATTTACAAGAAAAAAACAAACAACCCCATCAACAAGTGGGCAAAGGATATGAACAGACACTTCTCAAAAGAAGACATTTATGCAGCCAACAAATACATGAAAAAATGCTCATCATCACTGGTTATCAGAGAAATGCAAATCAAAACCACAATGAGATACCATCTCACACCAGTTAGAATGGCGATCATTAAAAAGTCAGGAAACCATCATTCTCAGCAAACTATCGCAAGGACAAAAAAACCAAACACCGCATGTTCTCACTCATAGGTGGGAATTGAACAATGAGAACAAATGGACACAGGAAGGGGAACATCACACACCGGGGCCTGTTTTGTGGTGTGGGGATGGGGGAGGGATAGCATTAGGAGATATACCTAATGCAAATGATGAGTTAATGGGTGCAGCACACCAACATGGCACATGTATACATATGTAACAAACCTGCACGTTGTGCACATGTACCCTAGAACTTAAAGTATAATAAAAATATATATATTAAAAAAAAAGAATTATGGCTTCTATCCCTCACACCAAAATGACTCAGTTTAGACTGATAGGTGACTACAGGGTAAAGGGTCACTTTCTGTTGCACAATCCCTTGGATTTCCATGAGTGTATGTTTCTCTAATGTAAGGTTTTCTTTCAGAAACTGGTTGTACTTTCCAAATCTTCCAATGGCTAAGAGCATTGAAGAGTTATACAGAGCAGAAATTGGTAGGTAAAGAAATAGAATGGACTTGACATAGTGAGAACTGTAACCTGTTTGAAATTATGAAGAAACCTGTCTCATTGTAGGCAGAGATATCAAATCACCTTTAAACAGTGCTAGGCAAGCTTCATTGTGAAAAAGAATCACCTGGAAAGCTTGTTAAACACATACTCCTAGGTCCCACCCCTTGGGTTTCTTATTCAGAAGGTTAGGAACTCGACATGAGAATCTGTAGTTCCTACAAGCTCCCAGGTGAAATTGATGCTGCAGGTTCCTGGACTGCACTCTGAAGAGCACTTTTTAAAAACATTGTTTTTGTTCAAGGAAATGGAAGGAGGAGGTGAGAAAATGTGGTGAGTCAATAGTGGGGGTTAGGTAAGTAGTTGCTTAGGTTAGTAAATCAGGCCCACACCATGGTATAAAGATATGATGGGGGTTCTGAGTTGAGCACAATCTATTTCTGATGCTAGAAGATTCTCCAAACCAATTTTTTCTGCAAAGTGAATATACTTGGGGAATACTAGCTGAGCACTGGATTATAAATTTAAACATATTACAACCTTTGTAGGCTCTTCTGCAGCCTGGGTGTAAACCTTCTCATGGGGTCCAAGCAATCATGGGCACATTGGCTGCAGGATCACATTTGTGCTGGTGTACCACATGGAAGCCAGAAGAAAAAGCAATGGCAACCTCCAGTTCACTCCTTGCCTTGCATTGTTTTTGGAAGAACTGTTTGCATACAGTGTGCTCAAAAGTTATTCGATAATTTGGGAGTGGGCGGGGAGACGAAAAACCTGAAAAGAGAGACTCTTTTTTCCCCTGATAATAAGATTAAGGATGGGGGAAGAGATTAAGCTATTCATTAAAATTCAATGTGATCTCATTTGCACCCTGAGTTTGTGGAGCATAACATACTGGCTTAAAGGGGATCAATATATCATACTGGTTTAAAAGGGACTATTATATCAATCAAATGGGGGAGATTGGCCACCCTGGAAGAAGAGAAAAGAGTTGAAGTAGAAACATGGACACAGCATCTTCAGCAGTGTCTGCAGAAGAAAGTGTACATTAATCTTCAAAAACTGTGTTTGTTTCTTCTGGAAGCTCTGTTTCCCATCATGGGATGAATTCAACAGGTAATTTCAGTTTAATATTATAATACCTGCTATCATGATAACCAAGCTAAATCCTCTGACTCAGATTCTATATTCATTAGTAGTTTTGTCAGTCTCCATGAAACACCTGTTGGGATTTTTATGGGATTAAATGACATCTATAGATCAATTTGGCAAGAATTCACATCTTAACAACAATGAATCATAACATTCATTAACATAGCATATCCCTCTATTTATTAAATTCTTTTAAAATTTTCCTCCATAATGCTTTGTAGTTTTCAAAGAATGAACATCTTTTAATCTTTTGCTATATTTCTCCCTAGGTGTTTGATGCATTTTGATGACCTTATAAAACGTATTTCTTTTAAATTTCATTTTCCAAGTGACGTTTACTGGTATATAAGTATATGATTTATTTGGGTTATGTAGCACAGAGTCTGATTCCATGTTTTCATGTTTGACTTCTGACTTCTTATAAACCCCACCTCCCTTTTCCCTTTTGCTCCATATCAGGACAGATTGGTAAGAAAGCCCAAGTGAATGTCCTTTTATGGCACATGTGGGAAATTCAAAGCTGGCAAATCCCCGGCTGTCAATTGGGACTATTTCTACAGTCCCACCCCCTAGCTACTATATAGACCCAACCCACAGAGGCCTGCCCAGACCTGCTTGTACCCTCCCTCCCTCCCATTTCAGGAGTCCCTTGTGTGAATAACAAGTTTTCTTCCAAATTATTTAGTTATGTGGAGTGCCATTGGCATCAACATCCTACCTATAGATTGGGAAAGGTAACATTCTGCCTTCTTGGGATAAACATAAAACAAGGTATGTTGGTCTTATATCCAGCAGCTTTCCTAAATTTACTTACTATCTCTAATAGTTTGAGAATTAATTTGAACTTTCTATGTATAAAATCATATCATTTGTGAATAATTACAATTTTACTAATTATTTTTCAATCTTTTTCCTTTTTTATTGCTTTATTAAACTAGTTAGGTTCTCAAATTTTGAATAGGATTGGAGGCTGTAGACATCTTGTGTTCTTGCCATTCTCAGGAGGAGAAAATGGTCAATATTTTACCATGTTATATAGATCATTAACTTTTTTCGTAGATAACCTTTATCACATTAAGAAAATTTCTGGCTATTTCTAGTATGCCCATGCCTATGTCCTGAATGGTATTGCCTAGATTTTCTTCTAGGGTTTTTATAGTTTTGTGTTTTACATTTAAGTCTTTAAACCACCTTGAGTTAATTTTTGTATAAGGTATAAGTAAGGGGTCCAGTTTGTGTTTTATGGATATGGCTATCCAGTTTTTCCAGCACCATTTATTAAATAGGGAATCCTTTCCCCATTGCTTGTTTTTGTCAGGCTTGTCAAAGATCAGATAGTTGTAGATGTGTGGTATTATTTCTGAGTTCTCTATTCTGTTCCATTGGTCTATGTGCCTGTTTTTGTACAAGTATCATGCTGTTTTGGTTACTGTATCCTAGTTTGAAGTTGGGTAGCATGATGCCTCCAGCTTTGTTCTTTTGCTTAGGATTGTCTTGGCTATATGAGCTATTTTTTGGTTCCATATGAATTTTAAAATAGTCGTTTTTTCTAATTCTGTGAAGGATGTCAATGGTAGTTTAATGGAATAGCATTGAATCTATAAATTGCTTTAGGCAGTATGGCCATTTTCACGATATTGATTCTTCCTATCTGTGAACATGGAATGTTTCCATCTGCTTGTGTTTTCTCTGATTTCCTTGAGCAGTGGTTGGTAGTTCACCTTGAAGAGGTCCTTCACTTCCCTTGTTAGCTGTATTCCTAGGTATTTTATTCACTTTGTGGCAATTGTGAACAGGAGTTTATTCATGTTTTGGCTCTCTGCTTGTCTGTTGTTGGTGCATAGAAATGCTTGTGTTTTCCGCACATTAATTTTGTGTCCTGAGACTCAGCTCAAGTTACTTAGCAACTTAAGAAGGTTTTGGGCCGGGTCAATGGGGTTTTCTAGATATAGGATCATGTCATCTGCAAACAAAGAATATTTGACTTCCTCTCTTTCCCATTTGAATACCTTTTATTTCTTTGTCTTGTTTGATTGACCTGGCCTGAACTTCAATACTATGTTGAATAAGAGTGGTGAGAGAGGGCATCTTTGTCTTGTGCCAGTTTTCAAGGGGACTGCTTCCAGCTTTTGCCCATTCAGTATGATATTGGCTGTGGGTTTTTCATAAATGGCTCTTATTATTTTGAGGTATGTTCCTTTAATACCTAGTTTATTGAGACTTTTTAACATGAAGGGATGTTGAATTTTATTGAAGGTTTTTCTCTGAGTCTATTGAGATAATCATGTGGTTTTTGTTTTTAGTTCTGTTTATGTGATGAATTTTATGTTTATTGATTTGCATACTTTGAACTAGGCTTGCAACCCCAAGGGTGAAGCTGATTTGATCATGGTGAATAAGCTTTTTGATGTGCTGCTGGATTTATTTTGCCAGTATTTTATTGAGAATTTTTGCATCAAAGTTCATCAGGAATATTGGCCTGAAGTTTTCTTTTTTTTTTTTTCTGTTGTATCTTTGCCAGGTTTTGGTACCAGAAACTAGGATTGCAACCCCTACTTTTTTTCTGTTTTCCATTTGATTGGTAAATTTTCCTCCATCCCTTCATTTTGAGCCTATGTGTGTCCTTGTATATGATGTCGGCTGGTTCATTTCGCAGGCTTGTTAATGTAGTTGCTTCATAGTGTTGTTGATTTATGTACTTCAGTGTGTTTCTGTAGTGGTTTGGTAATGGTTTTTACTTTCCATGTTTAGTGCTTCCTTCAGGAGCTCTTGCAAGGTAGGCCTGATGGTGACAAAACACCTCAGCATTTACTTGTCTGAAGACGATTTTATTTCTCCTTCACTTATGAACCTTAGTTTGGCCAGATATGACATTCTGGGTTGATAATTCTTTTCTTTAAGTATGTTAAATATTGGCCCCTAATCTCTTCTGGCCTGTAGAGTTTCTGCTGAGAGGTTTGCTGTTAGTCTGATGGACTTCCTTTTGTAGGTGACCTGGCCTTTCTCTCTGACTTCTGTTAACATTTTTTCTTCCATTTTAACCTTGGAGAATCTGATGATTATGTGTATTGGGGTTGATCTTCTCATGGAGTATCTTATTGGGGTTCTCTGGATTTTCTGCATTTGATTGGCCTGTCTTGATAGGTTGGGGAAGTTCTCCTGGATGATATCCTGAAGTATGTTTTCCAACTTGGTTCCATTCTCCACATCTTTCAGGTACTTCAATCAGTCGTAGGTTCAGTCTTTTTACATAGTCCCATGGTTCTCAAGAGGTTTTGTTTGTTCCTTTTCAGTCTTTTTTTTTTCTAGTCTTGTCTGCCTGCCTTATTTCAGCAAGATAGTCTTTAAGCTCTTATAGTCTTTCTTCCACTGGTTGATTAGGCTGTTGATACTTGTGTTTGCATCATGAAGTTCTCGTGCTGTGTTTTTCAGCTCCATCAGGTTATTTATGTTTCTCTCTCAACTGGTTATTCTAGTTAACAGCTCCTGTAATCTTTTATCATGGTTCATAGCTTCTTTGCATCCGGTAAGAACATAATCCTTCAGCTCAGCGAAGTTTGTTATTACCCACTTTCTGAAGACTACTCCTGTCAGTTCATCCATCTCAGCTTCAGCACAGTTCTGTGCCCTTGCTGGAGAGGTGTTGTGATCATTGGAGGAGAAGAGGCATTCTGGCTTTTGGAATTTTCAGCATTTTTGCATTGGTTTTTCCTCATCTTCCTGGATTTATCTACCTTTGATCTTTGAGGCTGTTAACCTTTGGATGGGGTTTTTGTGGGAGGGTCTTTTTTGTTGATGTTGTTGTTGTTATCATTGCTGTTTGTTTGTTTCTCTTTTAACAGGCCTCTCTTCTGCAAGTCTGCTACAGTTTGCTGGGGGTCCACTCCAGACCCTGTTCTCCTGGGTATCACCAGTGGAGGCCACAGATCAGCAAAGATTGCTGCCTGCTCCTTCCTCCTGAAGCATCCTCTTAGAGAGGCACTGACCTGATGCCAGCAGGAATTCTCCTGTATGAAGTGTCTGTTGACCCCTGTTCGGAGGTCTCACCCAGTCAGGAGGCACCGGATCAGGTACCTGCTTAAGGAAGCAGTCTGGCTGCCCCTAAGCGGTGTAGGTGCGCTGGGCGGTGGGGAATCCCTCTCATCCGGATTGCCTGGACTCTTCAGAGCCAGTAGGCAGGAAAGATTAAGTCCCGTTCCCCCAGGTGCTCTGACCCAGGGAGATGAGAGTTCTGTCTGTAAACCTCTGGCTGCATTTGCTGGAATTCCTGCAGGAAGGCCCTGCCCGGTGAGGAGGTATGGATCCAGCTTCTACCTAAAGAAGCAGTCTGGCCACAATCTGCCACAGCCACTGTGCTGCACTGTGGGGAATTCCACCCTGTCCAAACCTCACGGTCTCTCTATCAACTGGCAGGGAAACACCGCAGACTAGAGCCTCAGTAATGGTGGTCGCCCCTCCTCCCGGGAACTCAGTCATCTTAGGCAGACTCCAGGCTGCTGTGCTGGCCCGCGGGGATTCCAAGCCAGTGGGTTTTAGCGTGCGGAGTTCCAGGAGACGGGGACCTGCTGAGCGAGGCTGGTTGGCTCCCTGGCTTCAGCCTCATTCCCAAGAGAGTGGACAGATCTCCTGCCTCACTGGAGTTCCTGGAGCTTCTGTAGTATGCCAAACCTCTTGCAGCTCAGTGCCTGTCTGAGCGGCCGCGGACCCCAGCAGCTGCCATGGGTCTGCACAGCTTTGTGCTTGGGACCCAAGGCCCCGGTGGTTTGAGAACACAAGGGAATCTCTTGATCCGCAGATTGCAAAAATATGTGGGAAAAGCATAGTTCTCTGGGAGGATAGCACAATCTCTCACCACCTCCCTTGGCTTGGGGAGGGAGGTCCCTTTGCTTACCCCGTGCAGCTCCAGCTCCGGGGTGAACCGTCATCGCCCCACCCTGCTTTTCCTTGCTGTCCGTGGGCCCCACCAACAGCCTAGTCAGTTCCAATGAGAGAATCTGGGTACCTCAGTTGGAAATGCAGATTCACCCACCGTTTACGTTTGTCTCAGTGGGAGGTGCAGATAGGAGCTGTATCTACTCGGCCATTTTGGCCCCTCCTGTATTATCATTTTATATAAAACTAGATTCTGTTATCTAAGGTTATATTGAGTGTAATCATAACTATATTAGTAAAAAATATTGGTACATATTTTCTTTTCTTATGAATCTTCTTCAGGTTTTTTGTATCAAGGGTTTGATGGCTTCATAAAATGAGTTGGAAGTTGGCCTATTTTTCTATTCTTTGGAAGCACATGTAAGATTGGTGTTATGTCTTCTTTAAATAGTAGAAAGAATTAATCAGTAAAATCATCTACACCTGGAGATTTTATGAGAAGATTATTTTTTATAACGGATTTGATTTATTTAATTGATATAGGACTATACAGATGTTCCACTCCTTTTGAGTCAGTTTTGGTAATGTGTACACTATATCTAAGTTAATAAATCTATTGGCATAAAGTTGTTAATAATCTCCTCTTATCCATTTGATGTACTTGAGATCTGTAGGGATGCCCCCTTATATTGGTCGTTTGTGTTACCTTCCTCTTGCTATTTATTAATTTTATTAATATTTTCAAAAAGTCAAAGAGAAAACCTTGTTGACTTTTCTGTTTTATTGATTTCACCATTTGTTTTTATTACTTTTATCCTTCTACTTTCTTTGAAATTATTTTGCTTTCCTTTCTCCAGATTCTTGAGTTAGAAGTATAGATCATTAATTTTAAATCTTTCTTCTTTTCTAATATTTACATGTAAAGCAATATATATCCCTCTAAGCATTGTATGTGGTGCATGCCACACATTCTGATATGCTGTGCTTTTATTATTTTTCTAGTTATCTTTCATTCTCATTCCATAAGTTAATTCCATGTTGGCCATAGGAGATACTTTTTATGATTTCAATTCTTTGAAATTTGTAGAAACCTACTTTATGGCTCAGAATACATTTCAAAATAATGTATTGTTTTGTATTTATTTCTGTAGTTGTTGAATGTAATGTTCTGTATCTGTTAATTAAGTCCAGTTGGTTAATTGTTTTGTTCAAAGCTTTTATATTGTTACTGATTTAGTTTGTCTGTTTTATCATCTCTTGAGATAGTGTCAAGAACAGCGAAGGGCTGACATTTTATTCTATTCTACTCATAATATAGCAAGTAACCTGCCACAGTTTCATCAATCCTGCATTAATTGTGAGGAGTGCCATAATGGAATATTACAGACTGGTGGCTTAAACAATATACATATATTTTCTCAAAGTTCTGTAAGCTAGAAATCCAAGATCAAGGTGCTGGCAGGGTTAGTTTTTGACTAGGCCTCTCTTCCTGGCTTGTAGACAAATGCCTTATTACGGTGTCCTCACATGGACTTTTCTCTGTGCCTGCACTCTCCTGGTGTCTCTTTCTATTCTTATAAGGAACACCAGTCCTGTTGGATTAGAGCTCCACCCTTATAACATTGAACCTTAATCAGCCCCTCAAAGGCTCTATATCTAAGTATAGTCATATTGAGGGTTAAGGCTTTAATATATCAATTTGAGGGGAGAGGGCACAATTTAGTCCATAATAGATGCTGGCAGAAGACATGAGACTTCTGTATTAGAGGCAAAGGACTTTATTACTCATGGAACAGAAGGCAGGAAGGTTTCCCAGTTCCTTCAAGCCCCATAAGTGTGACACAGGTGGGCCTAGATTGATCCTGCACATTTTATAGGTTTGTTTCACAACCCACAAAAGTGACTCTTGGATTAGGAAATCCCAATATTTTATAAATATCTGCAAGCAACCCTGTCCAACCTTTGCCACAGAGGGAGATAGTATTCTTATGATACTGTACAGCAAACAAATCTGCCTCCTGCTCCACTTTCAAAAATCCTTGGAAGATAGCCTGAGATAAAAGTCTGTGAGTGACTCTGCTCATAAAATGTGCAGACCAATGGACAAGGCTGGCTTCACAGGTATGCCATGCCTAGAAGGTGCCTATGCTTGGTGTAATGCTCTTCTGTCACTGGTTTCAAATTATTAATAAGTTATAAGTAATAGAGCCCTCATTTTCATTTTTCACTGGGTTCCACAAATTATGTAGCTCATCTTGTCTCTGGAGAATAAGAATGTGTTACATTCTTATTCCTATTAACACATAAGAATGTGTTATCCCAAAAGATAGTTGTGTTAATGTCTTCAATTGTGATGATAAATTGTTTTTATTTTAGTTCTGTAAATTTTGGTTTTGAATATTTTGAAGCTACATCATTAAAAGAATAGAATTTGAGATCACTTTACATTCTGTTGCCATGAATCTTTTGTCATTATAAAATATTTCACTTTTTGCCTCATAATACTCTTTAGCCTACTTTGTGTGATTTAATATAGCCACGAAGACTTTATTTTTCTTAGTGTTTTCATTTTGTAACTTTTCTTATCCTTTTCTATAAATCTTTGTGTTTTTTTGAATGTAAGATGTTTCTTGTGAACAGCATATAATTGGATGTTGTTTATATATCCAGTCAGACAATCTCTAACTTTTAAATGAAATATTTAGTTGATTTTAATTTAATGTAATTGCTGGTATAGTTAGGTTTAAATATACCATATTATTTTTTGTTTCCCATATGCCTTATCTACTCTTTGTACCTATTTTATTTTTTGTTTTCTTTTATATTGAGCTATTTTTAATATTTTATTTTAGTGATATATTGGCTTTGTTTGTTACATAATATACTATCTCTTTTTAGTGGTTATCCTGGAAATCAAGCAATCCATCCTTTATTTATTACTATCTAACTTATGTTAGTATTTTTACCAAAATCAAAACATTGAAAGATCTTTAAATGTTTAATTTATTTTGATCTCCTATCATTTTGCTCTGTTTTCACATAGTTTGTACCTATACTTATTATAAACCCTTCAAGAAGTTATTATATCTTTTTCCGCAATCAGTTTTTTACATATACCTTTTTATTTTCCAGAGTGCTTCTTCCGTCTTATATATCTGTGATAATTTCCTTTAGCCTAAAGAATTTTGTTCAGTAGATCTTTTGTGGGTGTCTGCTGCAGGAAAGAAATTCTTTTGGCTTGTGTTGGTCTGAGAACATCTTTGTCTTGTCTTTGTTTTTTACAAAATCTTGGAGGGCTTTTAAAAGAGCACTTTAAATATTCATTCTATTGTTATTTAGTTTACATAAATTCTGAGAAATTGACTCATTCTGTTTTTTAATAATACATTGTAATAAACTATAGTCACATATTTTACAGTAGCTGTCTTGAAGTTATTTCTCCTATCTGACTGAAATTTTAAACCTTTTGGCCAAAATCTTCACAACCCCAATATACCCCCAACCTCTCATAACCATCATTCTATTTTCTACTTCTATGAGTTCAACTTTTATAAATTTCATATATAAGTGAGATCATGCAGTATCTGTGTTTCTGTGCCTGACTTATTTCATTTAACCTAATGTTCTCCAAGTTCATCCCTGTTGTCCTAAATGACAGGATTTTCTTTTTGTTTAAGGCTGAGTAGTGTATATATATAATATATATAGTGTATATATATATTATATATAATATATAATATATATAGTGTATATATATATTATATATAATATATAATATATATATAATGTATATATAATATATAATATATTATATAGCGTATATATATAATATATAATATATAATATATAGTGTATATATAGCATGTACATAATATATAATATATAGTATATATAGCATGTATATTATATATACTATATAATATATATAGCATATATATATTATATATACTATATCATATTATATATATGATATATACTATATCATATATAGTGTATATATATTATATAGTGTATATATATTATATAGTATATATAATATATATAGTGTATATATGATATAGTATATATCATATATGTATATATATTATATAGTATATATAATATAGTGTATATATAATATAGTATATATAATATATTATGTATATAATATAAATATTATATATTGTATAATAGTGTATATATATTGTATATAGTAGTGTATATATATTGTATAATATATATTATATAATATAGTATATATAATATATACACATAAGTAATATATATTATATATTATATATGCATATATATATAATTTATATGCATATATAATATATAATATATACGCATATAATATATATTATATGCATATATATTATCTATAATATATACGCATATATAATATATATTATATGCATATATATAATATATATATGCAAGGGGACACTACTAAGTCTTACTTATTATTACATTATATATATACACACTACATTTTCCTTATCCATTCATTCACTGATGAACACTTAGGTTGATTCTATGTCTTGTCTATTTGAATAGTGCTGCAATTAACAGGATAATACAGATATCTCTTTGACATACAGGGTGAGGTGATATTGCATCATGGATTTAATTTGTATTTTCCTGATAGTTAGTGATGTTAGACAATGTTTTCCTATATCTCTTGGCCATTTGTATTTCTTTTGAAAAGTGTCTACTCAGGTCTTTTGTTCATTTTAAATTGCGTTATTTGTTTTCTTGCTATTGAGTTGTTTGAGTTCCTTGTATATTTTGGCTAACATCTTAGCAGATGTATAGCTTGAAAACATTTTCTCCCATTCTGTAGGTTCTTTCTTTACTCTGTTGGTTGATTCCTTTGTTGAGCAGAAGCTTTTTAGTTTGGTTCAATCTCATTTGTCTATTTTTGCCTTTATTACCTGTACATCTGAAGTAATATCCAAAAAGTCATTGCCAAGATCAATGTCATGGAGCTTTCCCCCTATGTTTTCTTCTAGGAATTTTACAGTATTAGACCTCACATTTGAGCCTTTAATACATTTTGAATTGATTTTTGTAGATGGTGACAGATAGGAGTCTAGTTTTAATCTACTACATATGGATATTCACTTTTCACAGCATCATTTGTTGAAGAGACTGTAAATTCTCCAATGTATGTTCTTGGCAGCTTCATTGAAAATCAGCTTTCTATAAATGTGTGGATTTATTTCTGTTCTCCATTAAGTTTTTAGGTCTGTGTCTATTTTTAGTGCCAGTACCATATTGTTTTGGTTACTATAGATTTGTAGTACATTTTGAAGTCAGGTAGTGTGATACCTCCAGCTTTGTTCTTTTTGCTTAACATCACTTTGTCTATTTGGGGTTTTTCATGATTCCATACAAATGTTAATATTGCTTTTTCTATTTCTATGAAAAATGTCATTGAAATTTTGATAGAGATTGTGTTGACTTTGTAGATCATTTTGGGTAATACAGACATTTAAATTGTTTAAATATTTCAATTTTTCCAATCTATGAACATTGAATATCTTTCCATTTATTTGTATCTTCTTTAATTTTTTTCATCAATGTTTTGCCTTTTCTGTATAGGTCTTTCAAGTTCTTGGTTAAACTTATTCCTAAGTATTTTAATTTTTTTGTAGCTACTGTAAATGGGATGTTTTTAAAATAATTTATTTTTAGAAGAGTTTGTTTTTAATATATAAAAACACTGCATATTTTCTATATTAATTTTATATTCTGCAACTTCATTGATTTACTAGTCCTTTTAGTTTTTTGGTGGTATTTTAGGGTTTTCTACATATATGACTATATTACCTGCAAACAGGGACAATTTAATTTTTTGTTTTTCCAATTTGGATTCCTTTTATTTGTCTTCCTTGCCTAGTTGTTCTGGCTAGGATTTCTAGTACTGTGTTGAATAGAAGTGGCGAGAATGAGATTCTTGTTTGTTTCTTATCTGAGAGGAAAAGTGTTTAGCTTTTCACCATTGAGTATGATGTCAGATGTGGTTTTGCAATATATGGCCTTTATTTTGTTGAAGTACTTTCATTCCATAACTGATTTGTTGAGAGCTTTTATTATGAAAAGATGTTGAATTTTGTCAACTGCTTTTTCTGCATCTATTGAGATGACAGTACATTTTTTGTCCTTTATTCTATTAGTGTGATTATCACATTTATAGACTTTCATATGTTAAAATATCCTTGCATCCCTAGGATAACTCCCATTTTATCATGGTGAATGATACTTTTAATGTGTACTGAATTCAATTTGCTAGAATTTTGTTGAAAATTTTTTCATGAATGTTCATCAGATATATTGGCCTATTATTATTATTATTTTTATCCTGTAGTGTTCTTGCCTGGATTTAGTAACAGGGTGATGATGGCCTTAGAAAATGAGTGTGGAAATATTCCTTCTCCCTCAATATTGTGAAAAAATTTGAGAAGGATTGATATTATTTCTTTAAATGTGTGGTAGAACTCAGAAGTGAAACCATCAGATCCTGGACTTTTCCTTAATGGAAGATTTTTTTTTGTTTCTTAAATTGCTCGTTCAATCTCCTTACTCCTTACTGGTCTGTTCGGATTTTCAGTTTACTTAAGATTCGGTTTTGGTAAGTTGTGTGTGTCTAAGAATTTATTCATTTCTTCTAGACAATCAAATTTCTTAGTGTATAATTTTTTTTAACAGTTTCTTATGATCCTCTGTAAGTCTGTGGTATCAGTTGTAATAGCTCCTCTTGAAATTCTCATTTTCTTTATTTGATATTGTTGTCTTTCGTACCAGGCTAGCTAAAGTTTGGTCAATTTTGTTTATCTGTTCAAAAAAGCAACTCTTACTTTCTTTGATTTTTTCTATTCTTTTTCTATTTTCTATTTCATTTATTGCTGCTTAGTTATTGATTTTTCTTCCACTAACTTTAAGCTCAGTTTGTTATCTCAATTTCTAGTTCCCTTGAAGCGTGAAACTAGGTTGTTTATTTAAGATTTTTATTCTTTTTTGATGTAGGCATTTATTGCTATAAACTTTCCACTTAGAACTGCCTTTGATTCATCTCATAAATTTTGGTACGTTGTGCTTCCATTTTTGTTTGTCTTAAGATATTTTAAATTTTCTCTTTTAATTTCTCATTTGACTCATTGGCTATTCAAGAACTTGTTTAATTACCATGTATTTGAATATATTCTAAAATTTTTTATTTGTGATTAGGTGATTTTCTCTAGTGGTATGCTTTGATTTCTTACTTTATATCTTTAGTGTATCTACCATAGGTTTTTGCTTTGTGGTTACCATAAGGCTTATAGAAAACACCTTACAGTTATAACAGGCTATTTTAAGCCGATAACAGCTTAACTTTGCATACAAAATTTATACTTTTAGGACAGGTGTGGTGGCTCACACCTGTAATCCTAGCACTTTAGGGAGGGTGAGGCTGGCGGGTCACTTGAGCCCAAAAGTCCAAGACCAGACTGGGAAACATGGCAAAACCCTGTCTCTACAGAAAATACAAAAACTTAGCCAGCTATGATCACAGCAGTGCACTCAAGCCTGAGCAACAGAGTGAGAAGAGACCCTGTCTCAAGAGAAAAAAATTATATTATTCCTCCACCCCCACCACATTTAAAATTTTTTGTCACAGTTTGCATTTTTTATTGTCTTCCTTAACAAAATAATGTAGCTTTTATTATTTTAATAATTTTGTCTTTTAACCTTCATATTAAACATATAAAAGATATATACATGCCCGGGCATGGTGGCTTATGCCTGTAATCCCAGCACTTTGGGAGGCCGAGGCAGATGGATCTTGAGGTCAAGAGATCGAGACCACCCTGGCCAACATGGTGAAACCCCATCTCTACTAAAAATACAAAAATTAGCTGGGCTTGGTGGCATGCACCTGTAGTCCCAGCTACTCGGGAGGTTGAGGCAGGAGAATCACTTGAACCCAGGAGGCAGAGGTTGCAGCAAGCTGAGATCGCACCACTGCACTCCAGCCTGGTGACAAAGTGAGACTCTGTCTAAAACAAAATAATAATAAAAAATAAACAAAAATATATACACCACCATTACAGTATTACAGTTACTTTTTGAATTTTATTTTACTTTAAGTTCTGGGATACATGTGCAGAACGTGCAGGTTTGTTACATAGGTATATGCATGCCATGGTGGTTTTTTGCACCTATTGACCCATCCTCTCAGTTCCCTCCCCTTACTCCCCATCCCCCAACAGGCCCTGGTGTGTGTGTGTTGTTCCCTCCCTGTGTCCATGTGTTATCATTGTTCAGTTCCCACCTATGAGGGAGAACCTGCTGTGTTTGATTTTCTGTTCCTCTGTTAGTTTGCAGAGGATGATGGCTTCCAGCTTCATTCATGTCCCTGCAAAGGACATGAACTCATTCCTTTTTATGGCTGTATAGTATTCCATGGAGTATATGTACCACATTTGCTTTATCCAGTCTATCATTAATGGGCGTTTGGGTTGGTTCTACGTCTTTGCTATTGTAAATAGTGCTGTAGTAAATATACATGTGCATGTGTCTTTATAGTAGAATTATTTATATTCCTTTTGGTATAAAGCCAGTAATGGGATTGCTGGGTCAAATGGTATTTCTGGTTCTCAATCCTAGAAGAATTGCCATACTGTCTTCCACAATGGTTGAACTAATTTACATTCCCAGCAACAGTGTAAAAGTGTTCCTATTTCTTCACAGCCCTGCCAGCATCTATTGTTTCTTGACTTTTTAATAATGGCCATTGTGACTGACATGAGATGGTATCTCACTGTGGTTTTGAATTGCATTTCTCTAATGATCAGTGATATTGAGCTTTTTTTCATATGTTTGCTGGTTGTGTAAATGTCTTGTTTCAAGAAGTGTCTGTTCATATCCTTTGCTCACTTTTTGATGGGGTTATTTTTTTCTTGTAAATTTGTTTAAGTTCCTTGTAAATTCTGGCTATTAGACTTTGTCAGTTAGGTAGATTGAAAAAATTTTCTCTCATTCTGTAGGTTGCCTGTTCATTCTGATGGTAGTTTCTTTTGCTGTGCAGAGGCTGTTTAGTTTAATTGGATCCCATTAGTTAATTTTGGCTTTTCTTGTAATGGCTTTTGGCATTTTCATCATGAAGTCTTTGTTCATGCCTATGTCCTGAATGGTATTGCCTAGGTTTTCTTCTAGGTTTTTTAAGGTTTGGGAATTTACATTTAAGCTTTTTGTCCATTTTGAGTTAATTTTTGGATAAGGTTTAAGGACTGGATCCAGTTTCAGTTTTCTGCATGTGGCTAGCCAGTTTTTCAAGCACCATTTTTGAATTGGAGATCCTTTCCCATTACTCGTTTTTGTCAGGTTTGTCAAAAATCAGATGGTTTTTGTTGTGTGTTGTTATTTCTGAGCTCTCTGTTCTGCTCCATTAGTCTATATTTCTGTTTTGGTACCAGTACCATGCTGTTTTGGTTACTGTAGCCTTATAGTATAGTTTGAAGTCAGGTAGTGTGATGCCTCTGTCTTGTTCTTTTTGCTTAGGATTGTCTTGGCTATGCAAGCTCTTTTTTGTTCTATGTGAATTTTGAAGTAGTTTTTTCTAGTTCTGTGAAGAATGTCAATGGTAGTTCGATGGGAGTAGCATTGAATCTATAAATTACTTTGGGCATTATGGCCATTTTCATATACATTTTCTTAATCCAGTATATCATTGTTGGACATTTGGGTTGGTTCCAAGTCTTTGCTATTGTGAATAATGCTGCAATAAACATACGTGTGCATGTGTCTTTATAGCAGCATGATTTATAGTCCTTTGGTTATATACCCAGTAATGGGATGGCTGGGTCAAATGGTATTTCCAGTTCTAGATCCCTGAGGAATCGCCACACTGACTTCCACAATGGTTGAACTAGTTTACAGTCCCACCAACAGTGTAAAAGTGTTCCTATTTCTCCACATCCTCTCCTAAAACTTAAAGTACAATAAAAAATAAAAATAAAGAAATAAAAAATAGTATCATAACTATATATCAATAATAACAATAGAAAATGGAATAAAAAAAGTATTTGTAATAGAAAATACAAAATTCTTAGAAATAAATCTAATAAAAATATATAAAATATATGGAGAAATGTTGAAATTAATGAACATTATCAACCTAAAAAAATGGAAATCAATGCTATGGTTCTATGTGAACAAATTTAAGGATATCAATTTTCTCTCAAACTAATATGTAAAATTGATTCAATTCCCCTAAATTATGGTTGTTTTGTGTAAAACTTAACAAATTAAACCCAAAATTCATGTGGAGTGTCATAGAGTCAAGAATAGCTAAAATTCAAATTTTAAAGAACAAAGATCCTACGATTTACTCCACCAGATATTAAAAATTATCATAAATATTTAGTAAGTAAGACCAGAGACAAAGGGAGGAAAGATTGACAACAGGCCAATACGACAGAATAGGTAATACCCAAACAGACCTATGCATAAGTAAACTCAATTTTGACAGAGGTATAGGAATCATAAATCAGGAAGAAATAATGGATTTGTCAAAAATATGAAAAATGGTTAACTCCATTCAAAAAATTTTTAATTATTTCACACTACATGCAAAAATCAATTCTAGGCAGAGTTCAGACAATATCACAAACAAAATTTTAGAACTTTAAAAAAAAAAACAGAATACCTTTATGACTTAGGGTTAAGGAAGAATTTCCTAAATAAGACACAGAAAACACAAGCTGTGAAAGGAACTCTAAATAAATAACTAGATTAAAGTTTAAAACCTTTTTTCAATAGAAGACACCATAAGAAAAGTTAAAATAAACCAATTTTTAAAAAGCTATTTTGTAGCGCACCTACATTTTAAAGGAACATTATTCAATATAGAGCAAAATAACACTTTATAAACTCTTATTTATTAAAAATAAATAAATAGATCACCTAAAAGAGAATGAGCAAAAGATATGCAAAGAAATTTACAGAGGAGAATGTTTAAATAACCAATAAACCTAGGCAAAGATATACTCCCTCACTAGTAATCAAAGAAATGCAAATGAAACCAGAAAGTAAAACCCACAAAATTGTGAGGGCCCTTGATAATTGACCCTTCTGGAGTTTCTAATCTCTCAGATTTGTCCACACTGAGCCTCCTACAATTTGTCAATTACTGTTCAGGTTTTCCTACCCCAGTATTGGTTCCTGAAGAGGTATCTGTTTATGTTAAGTTGTTATTTTGCTATTTGCCTACATCTCCAACTTCAGTGGCACTGATTTCCCTTTTAACCCCACTTCTTTTATGGATTTTTCAGTTTGTTCAGCATTTTACTTGTTAGGATGGAGTGGCAATTTCCAAGCTGGAAGCAGAAACCAGAAGCCATGAGTGCTTTCTTCAGACTACAGAGCTCATTATCATGGTTCTGGTGCTTTAAAAAGTTGCTTTCAAGGAGTGAACTGTCAGTCTGTCTGAAATTGCTTTTCAAAACCTAAAGTATTATTGGTGAATCATTACAAAGAAGTAAAAGCACTATCAATGTAACACTGCAAGAGGAAAAGCCAAAGGAGAAAAGGTCTTATTTGACTAAACAGAAATCAAATGTTTTCTTTTAGGTCTTAAGACACGTGGACATGCTTTAAACTTTTCTATTTGGTTTGGACTTTGATTTACCCAGGGAAGAACTGGCAAACATATCAAAACCTATTATTTCCAATTGGCTTCTGCTTATTTATGCAGTAATTATCAAGATTATATGACAATCTGTTTTGATCATTAAGACAATCAGTGGTAACCCAGAAAGCACTGACTTTTTCAAAAGTAGATTTGTTTGATTTCCTCTCTGAGTGTTGATGTGACCTTGCTCTATAAGTTTCTGATTTCCTTAGATGGATGATCAGAAGCCTAGTTGAATATATCTTTTTTAAAAAATGATGAAATATTTAAACACACAGAAAGTATGCAGAATAACCAAATTATATCATGTGTCTACTTCCCAGATTTGCTTCAAACACTTTTAAGGAAATAAAATACTTCAGATACATTTGATTCCTGTGTAAACTTTACAAATCTCACCTTTTTCTTTACTTCTCAGAGATAATCATTAGGTATTTGTTGCTTCTGTGCACCTTTATATATTACTAGTACCTATTTGTGGACCCTCTGACAGCATGCATTGGTGCTCATATTTTTGCTATTTTAAACAACATTGCTAAAAATTTTATGTATTATTCCTATGCACATATGGGAGAATTTTTCTGGGGCGTATGTCTAGGCTGGGATATCAGTGTTGTCTTCAACTCAATTAGAAATTGCCAAATTGCTTTTTAAAGTGTTTGTATGAATTTACAACCCAGCCAGAAGTGGATGAGCATTTCTGTTGTTCTACATCTCACATGTTTATTAATCAGAATTTTTAATGTTTATTAATCTGATGAGTATGAAACTGCAGTATGTTGCTGTGAGCTCTACCAGGTTCTCACAGTGAATAGTGGAGATAAATCTCCTCAGGCTTCCAGCATGGAGAGAAAAAAAGGAACCATCTTGAAATATTTCAAAGCATTCTGTTCTTAACAAAGTCTTCCCTTAGGAGAAATTATTTAATCAGAGCCTATCCTGCTGAGGTTTTGTCAGAGCCTAACTGATTTCAAAGAAAGAAAATACCCAAGTACAGCTGACTCTTGCCATCATGTACCAACTAAAATGGTGGGTTACAAACTGAGATGCTCTTGTTAGGTTCACAATCCATAGGCATAGGCTCACTAAAAGGCAGAGACCTAATCACAGGACAATAGAACACTTTCACTCCCCCCACACCTTACCAGCACATTACTAAAGTGCTACTAACAGCAGTCCATTTTACCTAGTACATTACATATGGTTATCAAGAAAGCAATTACACAGCATATAAAAAGTAAATATATAATCTGAAGAGATAGAGCAAGTATAGCAAGATAGGCCAGACTCACATATGTATGGATGTTGGAATTATACTGGGAATTTTTTTAAAACTATGATTAATATGCTAGGGGTTATAATGGATAAAGTAGATAGCATGCAATAGACTATGGTCAGTATAAGCACAAAGACTGATATTCTAAGAAAGAACCAAACAAGGAATACTGAGATTAAAAAATATTGTAAAGGAAATGAAGACTACCTTTAATGGGCTAATTAGTAGCCTACACACAGCTGAGGACACTGAGTTTCAGGCTATCTCAATAGAAACCTTCAAAACTGAAAAATCAAAGAGGACAAAGATTGAATAAAAACCATAACAGAATATCCAAAATCTGTTTGATAACTATGGAAGGGGTAACATGCATGTGATGAGAGTACCAGAAGGAGAAAAGAGAAAGGTATGGATAAATATTTGACACAGTAATGACTGAGAATATCCCAAATTAATGTCAGACACCAAACCACAGATCCAGCATGCTCAGTGAACATCAAGCAAAATTAATGCAAAAAACTGCACCTAGGAATATCATAATCAAATTCTAGAAAATTAAAGATAAAGAAAAATTCTTGAAAGAAGCCAGAGGGGGGAAAAATCCTACCTCTTACTTATAGAGAAGAAAGGATAAAAATTACATCTAGCTTCTTCTCAGAAACCATGCTAACAAAAAGAGAGTAGAGTGGAATATTTAAAGTCTTGAGAGGAAAAAAGAAAAACATCAACCTAGAACTTTTTTACTCTGTGAAAATATCACTCAGAAGTGAAGGATAAATACTTTCTCAGACAAACAATAATTGAAGGGATTTGTTGCCAGCAGACCAACCTTATAATAAAGGTTAAAAGAAGTTTTTCAGAGAGAAGGAAAATGATATAGGTCAGAAAGTCAGATCTACAAAAAAAAAGGAGAAGATGACCAAAAAAGGAATAAATGAAAATAAAATATGATCTTTCATTTTTCTTATTCTTAATTGATCTAACAAATAATTTTTCCAAAATGAGCGAAAAAATTGCATTTATTATTACAAACGCATAATAGAACAACGTATTCAATTATGTATATATGTATGCTTATGAGTAAAATAAATGACAGCAATAAAAAAATGAGAAAAATGAGTCCATTATTTGTTATTATAAGGTATTCACACACCAATGGACTCATAAAGTATTATTTAAAAGTGAACTTGGATTAGTTGTAAATATGTATTGCAAACTCTAGGGGAACAACTACAAAATGTTGAAAAATAATTATAACTGATATGCTAAGCAGGGAAAGAAAGGTCAACAAATAGAAAACAGCAACTAACATGGTAAATATTAAATCAATTACATCAACACTCTGAATGTCAATGATCTAAATGTATCAATTAAAAAACAGAGTTTGTCAGTGTAGGTAATAACAAAAAACCCAACTCTATATTGTCTACAAGAAACCCATTTTAAATATAGAGACACATATATATTAAAAGTAAATGGATAGAGCAAAATATACCAGGCTAACACCAATCAAAAGAAAGGGGGAGTATCTGTATTTATTTCAGAAGAGCAGGCTTCAGAGCAAAAAAAACCATCAGTGATTAAAAATGGCCATTACATAATGATAAATGGTAAATTCTCCAAGAAGACATACCAATTCCTAACATGTATGCACCTAACAACAAAGTGTCAAAATAAGTGAGGTAAAACTAAAAGAACTGCAAAGAAAAATAGATGAATCCACCATCATAGTTGAATACGTCAACACACTTTCATTAGAAATGAAAAGATTCATGTCCAGGTGCAGTGGCTCATGCCAGCACATTGAATGCCAAGGTGGGTGGGTCACTTGAGGTCAGAAGTTCAAGACCTCCCTGGCCAACATGGCAAAACTCTGTCTCTACTAAAAAAATACAAAAATTAGCCAGGTGTGGTGGTGGGCGCCTGTAATACCAGCTACTCAGGAAGCTGAGGCAAAATAATGCCTTTAACCTGGGAGGTGGAGTTTGTAGTGAGCCAAGATCATGCTACTGCACTGTAGCTTGGATGACAGAGTAAGACTCTGTCAAAAAACAAAATAAAATAAAGAAGAAGAAAAAAGAAATGAACCAATTCAACAAGCAAAAATCAGTAAGCACATAATTGAACTCAACGATAACATTAATACATTGGATTTAACAGTTATCTATAGACTACTTCACCCAACAACAGCAGAATACAGATTCTTCTCATTGTCACATGGAACATTTACCGAGATACACCACATTCTGGTACATAAAACAACCTTAACTCATCTCAAAATATAGAAATCATGCAATATCTTCTCTCATACCACAAATAAATTAAGGTAGAAATCAATAACTAACAGATAGGTGAAACATCCCAAAATACTTGGATGTTAAACCATATATTTCTAAATAACACATAGGCCAAAGAAGAAATATCAACAGAAAATTTTAAAATATTTTTAATTAAGTAAAAATGCACTTGTTAAAATTTGTGGGATGCAGTGTAAACAGTGCTAACAGGGAAATTTATAGCATTAAATGCATGTGTTAGGAAAAAAGAAAACTATAAAATCAATCATCTAATTTTACACCAAAAAAACTAGAAAAAGAAGAGAAAATTAAATCCAAAGGAAATGGAAGAAATCATAAAAATTAGACTAAAAAGTGAACAAAATTGAAAATAATAAGAGAAAATCAATGAGACTAAAACTTATCCTTTTAAAAGAGCAATAAAATTAATAAGCCTAAGCCAGGTTAATTAAGAAAAGAGAGAGGACACAAATTACTAATATCAGAAATGAAAGATGAGACATCACTACAGATATCATGGACATTAACAGAATAATAAAGGAATACTGTGAACAACTCTGTGCCCACAAATTATATAACCTAGTTGAAATGAATCAATTCCTTGAAAGACACAATCTGTCAAAACTCACACGAAAAGAAATAAGCAATCTGATCAGGCCTATGTCTACTAAGGAAATTGAATCAATAATTAATAACTGTCCAAAACAGAAAACACAAAGACTAGATGGGCTTACTGTGAATTATTCCAAACATTTAAAAAAGAAATTGTAACAGCTTTCTACAATCTCTTCCAGAAGACAAAAGCAGAGGAAACACTTTCTAACTCATTCTATGGGGCCAGCATTATCCTAACACCAACACCAGACAAAGATATTACAAGAAAAGAAAACTACAGACCAATATATCTCATGAACAAAGATGCAAAAATTCTCAACAAAATATTAGTAAATCAAATCCAGCGATGTATAAAAGGAATTATACACCATGACTAAATGGGATTTATGCCAGGTATGCAAGGCTGATTCAACATTCAAAAATAAATTAATCTAATCCATCACACCAACAGGGTAAAGAAGAAAAGTCATATGATTATATCAGTAGATGCAGAAGAATCATTTGATAAAATATAACACCCTTTAATGATTAAAAAAAACCAACTAAACTAGGAATAGCGGCAAACTTCCTCAACTTGATAAAGAATATTTACCAAAAAACCTGCGGGAAAATTTATACTTAAAAATGAAAACTAGAGCCTTTGTAACTAAGATCAGAAACAAGGCAAAAAATGTCACCTGTCACCACTCCTTTTCAACATTGTGGTGGAAGTCCTAGCTAATGCAATAAAACAAGAAAAGAAATAAAATATACATTAATTGAAAATGAAAATGTAACTGTCATTGTTGACAGATGACATGATTGTCTAATTAGAAAATTCAAAAGAATTGACTAAAAATGCCCTCCTGCAACTAATAAACAATTATAGCAAGGTTGCAGGATACAAGGTTAATATATGTCAATCGCTTTCCTATAAACCAGCAATGAACAAGTGGAATTTGAATTTAAGAACACATTACCATTTACATTAGCACCAAAATAATAAAATACTTAAGTAAACATCTAACAAAATATGTTCAAGGTCTATATGAGTAAAACTACATGATTTTCTCTAGTTGTTCCAGCACCATTTATTGAAAAAACTATCAAAAGAAGAACTAAATAAATGAAGAGATACTTCATGTTCATGGATAGAAAAACTCAATATTGTCAAGATGTCAGTTTTTCTCAACTTAGTCTATAGACTCAATGCAACTCCAATCAAAGTCTTAGCAACTTACGTTGTGGAAACTGTTTCCATACAAACTGATTCTAAAGTTTATATAGAGAAGCTAAAGACACAAAATAGCCAGCACACTATTGAAGGACAAGAACAAAGTTAGAATACTGATACTACCCAACTTCAAGACTTACTATAAAATTACTATAATCAGCACAGTGTGGTATTGGTGAAAGAACAGCCAAATAGTTCAATAGAACAGAATAGAGGAGCCAGAAATAATCAACTGATCTTTGACAAAGGAGAAAAGGCAATACAGCAGAGAAAAGATACTTTTTCAACAAATGGTGCTGAAACAACTAGACATCCAGATGTTAAAAAAAAAATCTGGACATAGTCCTTACATCTTCAAAAAATCAACCAAAATATATTAAAGACCTACATGTAAAACACAAAACTGTAAAATTCCTGGAATATAACATAGAAAAGAATCTAGATGCCCATGGATTTGGCAGTGACTTTTTAAATACAGCAACAAAGGGACCAAAGGGACAATCCATGAAAGAAAGAATTCATAAGCTAGATGTAATTAAAATTAAAAATTTCTGCTCTGCAAAAAACAAAATAAAAAGACAAGCCACAGACTGAGAAAAACTATTTGTAAAAGACATATCTGATGAAGACATGAGTTATTCAAGGCATATAAATAACTCTTAAAACACAACAATAAGGAAAAGAACAACCTAATTAAAAAATGGGCCAAAGACTTTAACAAGTTTCCCACCAAAGAAGATATAATAATGACAAATAAGCATATGTAAAGAAGCTCTACATTATATATAATCAGGGAAATACAAATTAGAACAATAACAAGATAACAATGTCTATCTATTAGAATGGCCAAAATCCAGAACACTGACAACACCAAATGCTGGAGAAGATATAAAGCAACATGAACTCTTATTTATTTCTGGTCATAATGCAGAATGGTATGGTCAATTTAGAAGACAGATTAGTGGTTTCTTACAAAACTAAACCTACTTCTACCGTACAACCCAGCAATCCCACTCCTTGGTATTTACCCAAAGGAATTGAAAACTTACAGCCATACAAAACCTGCACATGGATGTTTATAGAAGCTTTAATTATTTATATTTGCCAAAACTTAGAAACAATCATGGTATCTTTCAGTAGGTGAGAGGATAAATAAACTAAGTGAAAGAAGACAATATGAAAAGGATACATACTGCAAAATTGCAAGTGTAAGACATTCTGGAAAAAGCAACACTATACAGTAAATTGATCCATGGTTGCCAGAGTTTAAGGAGGACAGCAGGATGAAGAGATGAAGCACGGAAAATTGTTAGGGCAGTGAAACTGCTCTGTGTGACACTATAATGGTGAGAATGTCATTACACATTTGTCCAACTCCATTGAATATACAATGCCAAGAGTGAACCTAATGTAAACTATGGACTTTGGTTGATATATGTTGTTTATAAAGAGATATATGCTAATCAACATATTAGCATATATATATATATTAAAACAAGAAATGGCACTTCTTGAGACAGAGGTGTTTCTTGGTGAAGACCAGTTTCATACCAAGACGTGCTATTGCATGTGACCCATTAATTTTTCAACTCACGGAGATCCACTGTGTCATATCACATTTTCATTCTTCCTCATGCCCTTATATCCTGACATCTCTCCTTACTCAGATCAAATTCAACAGTCATTATTATCATTCTATCAAATAGACTCTCAACAGCCTCATGTTTATATCACTTCATCATATAATTAGAAAATCACCAACCCCAGTAAAACTCAATTTTTCATTTCTACGAAAAGTTGAATATACATATGCCTGCATCAGATGTATGTAAATATCGCTGAAGAAAAACTCACATTTGTGCTAGCTGATTTGAATTTAAAATCATCCCCTCTGAATTTCAGTGTGCCTGCCATCCAAAATTTTTTATTCCATTCACTCTCTTACTCTTTAAGACAACAATTTTTTGTCCCCTACTCTATTTTCTAAGGCCTCAATTACTCTTCTTAGTCTCACCTTATAATCTTGCTCATAACCATCTTTCATAGTATTTACTTCGCACATTTATTTTGTTTACTGTCTGTATCACTAGAAACTTGGGGATTTGGGAGAGGGGTTTCTGCTGCATTCTCAGTGCCAAGAAGAATGTCTGACCTATAACATTAAACTCTAAAAATTGTATGTATGATATGTGTAAGAGATGCTATTTTGTAAATAGCAGTCTGCAGTATTAAAAGACTTTATTAGCTGAATAAATGATGAATTTACCATAATACAAAGTCTACTTCTTATCTTTGAAGACTCTAAAAAGTAATATTCTTTTTATGCTAAGTAATCAACCTCCAGAAAACTGGCTTACTTTATCAAGTATATACAGGAATGAGTAACTAGTGTATCAACTTATTTGTTTATATTAAAAGGGAAGCAACAACATTTTGTTTATGCCTGAAACTGGCATTTACGGAATAGCACCTCTTTCCCCACATGCAAAGCAACATCCACATGCAAATTATTATCTACATTGTTTGTGTTAAATATATTTCTAGGATCCTTGGCCATAACCAATTCTGTGTATGTGTAGAACAAGACTTCTAGAGACCAGCAGAAAAGAGGTCTTGGAAAGTTAAGAGATAAGCGGAGATTTCAGAGCATGTACATAGTTCCTCTCATACAGTTCTGGGGAGATATTAGAGTTAAAACCCAGTCATAGTTCAGACCCAGCCAGAATGAAGGAGTCCTTTATTAACATAAGGGACAATTCATTGAGACCTCTGAAATGTCACGCCCTAGGAGTACAGATATATCTCCAAGCATAAGGGCAATACTGAAATAAATCCACCCTAATAAAGACTAAAACCAAAACATCAGGATCAAGGTGAACCACTGGTAATTTAATTGACTACCGAACAACGTTTAACACTCTTTTGAGAAAGATAATATAAGCCAGGGCTCTGCAACATATTTGCAATATCCAGTATAAGTCAAAATTTACCAAACTTGTAATGAAGCAGAAGAAGAGTTAGTAGAAGTAGATGTAAATAGTAAGCAGACAATGACTTCAAAATAACTATGGTTCAAAAATGATTAAGAAAAGTAGTGTAAAAGATGGTCAAAATGCATAAAAATGGTCCTTTTAAAAGAGAATTAAATTTTATAAGAAAGAATAAAGTGGATTTTCTAGAACCAAAAACTGTAATAATTAAGAATTCAGTAGATGGATTTAACAATAGGTCTAAGACAAAAAAAGAAAGAATGGCAAAACTCAAATTGAGATCAATAGACTATATCATTTTTGAATACAAAAAAGTTCAGAACAAAATCTAGGGTAGAAGAGATATGTGGTATTGGTCAAAAGCTCTCATATAAGGGGAATTAAGAGAATAAAACAGAAACAATATTTAAAGGTTGAGAATTTTTTAAATATGATGAAAGACATGAATGCCAACATTCAAAAAGCTCAATAGAATAAGAAAATCCACACCTTGGCATATTTATTCTTACTGATAAAAATCAATAATAAAGACACAATCTTAAAAGCATTCAGAGACAAAAATTATATCAGGTAAAGGGAAAAAGCAGTAACAGTCAAATTACAGCGTTATTCAAATAGACAGGCATAAACATAAGGCATCAAAAACTATTAAAAACCAAGGAGAAATAACACCAAAAAAAAAAAAAAAAAAGAATGCAATAATCTCCCAGTAGCTGACCTAAAAGAAACAGAGATATACAAGCTGCCTGAAAAAGAATTCAAAGTAATTATTCTTAGGAGGCTCAGAGAACTTCAAGAAAATAGACAAAAAAAAAAAAAAAAAGATATCAGGAAAACAATAAGTGACCAAAATGAAAAACAATAGACAGATTAAAATTATTTTAAAAAAGGAAATTGTGGAGCTGAAAAATATATTACATGAAATAAAAATGCAATAGAAAGAATCAATAGCAGAATTGATTAAGCAGAAAAATGTGTGAACTTGAAAACATCTTATTTTAAAATTCACAGAGGAGAAAAAAGAAAAAAGAATGAAAAGTAATAAAAATGCTTATGAGATTTATGGACATCATGAAAACAAATATTTGAGTTATGGGAGTTAAAGGAAAGAGGTAATGGGGTAGAAAGCTTATTTTAAAAAAAAATAAATAATAAGAGAACACTTTCCAAATCTTGGGAAAAATATGAATATTCAGATACAGAAAACTCAATGGTCTCCAATCAGATTCAGTTCAAACAGGACTACACCAAGAAATATAATCAAACTGTCAAAAATTATAGTCAGAGAATCCTGAAAGCAGACTAGGAAAAGAATTAAGTCACATGTAAAGAAATTCTTATAAGGCTAGCAACAGACTTCTTAGCAGATATCTTACAGGTCAGAAAAATGTGGGATGATATATTCTAAGTGCTGAAGGAAAAAGTGGCAAACAGGAATACTGTAGTTGGCAAAGCTGTCATTAAGAAATGAAAATGAGATGAAGACTTTCCCAGACAAACAAAAGCTGAGGAAGTACATGGCCATCAGACTTGTCTTATAAAAAATGTTAAAGAAGGCTCTTCAAACTAAAAGAAAAGAAAGCTAATTAGTAAAATGAAAACATGAAAGTATAAAAATCACTGGTAAAAGTATATGCACAATAAAATTTTTAAAACTCTAATACTGAGAAAGTGTGGGGCCAAGACAGTTGAATGGAAGCAGTGGCGATTGGAGGCTCCCATCAGAAAGAGCCATAAAAGCATGTGAATCCTGCACCAGCAACCAAAGTATTCAGGTTTTCTCATCAGAACTGAATAGGCGGCTGGCGTAATCCATGGAGAGGAAGAAAGAGCAGTGTGGTGCGGTGGCCCACTTGAAAGCCACATGGGGCAGGGGAACCCTCACCCCCCAGCCAAGGGAGGTAGTGACTGAGCATGCTACCCAGTCGAGGAAACTGTGCTTTTTCCACGGAACTGTGCAACCTGCGGATTGGAAGATCCCACTCATGAACCCATGCCATTGGGGCCTAGGGTCCCAATCCTACAGCCACGCAGATTCTCAACAGTCTCTCAGCTAGAATCTGCTTAAACCTGCTGAGTTCCCAGAGTTGCTGGGGGTGACCAGCACCACAGTCGCAGCTTTCTGCTGTCTAAGCCTTTTAAGCTCTCTGGGGGAGGAGCAGCAGCCAGCACTGGCACTGATAACTGCCTAACACACTAAGCTCCCTGGGCAGGGAATAGGCAGCAGCCATTTCTATAGCTCCAGGCCATGATTTTCCCCTGCTGGAACCAGGGAGGCTGGATAGCTTGGTCTCAAGAGGTGTCACCCACAGACAGCCCAACACACCAGCTGTGGTAGACTGTGGCCAGAGCACCTCTTCAGGCCTGACCCTGATCCATCCTTGCTCACTGGGTGGGACCTCCCTGCAGGAACTCCAACAACTCCAGCCAGAGGCTCAGGGACACAACCTGGACCTCCCTGGGCCTGAGCTCCTAGGGGAAGGAGTGGCCACAGTCTCTGCGAATTAGGCAACTTCACCTTTCCTCCTGGTAGTTCTGAGGAATACAGGCAGCCCAGATGAGTGGGTTTCCCCCTAGTGAAGCACACCCCTTCCACCAAGGGACAGTCAAAGTGCTTCATTAAATGGGTCCTGTTCCCCCTGCCACCAAACTGGGTGAAATCTTCCAACAGGGGTTGTCAGACTCCCTATAAAGGAGCAACCCTACTGGCATCAGGTTGGTGTTCCTTGAGGACAGAGATCCTAGAAGAAGGAGCAGGCACCCATCTTTGTTATTCTCCAGCCTCCTTGAGTAACATCTCCAGGCAGAGGAGCAAACCAGTTGAATAGGGCTTGAAGTGAACCCCCAGAAAACTGCAGCAGCCCTACAGAAGAGGGACCTGACCATTGAAAGAAAAGCAAACAAACAAACAGAAAGCAACAAAAACAGTATCAACAACAACAACAAAAAGTCCCCACAAAAACCCTATCCAAGCGTCAGCAGCCTCAAAGATTGAAACTAGACAAACTCATGAAGATGGGAAAGAATGAACGAAAAAAACTGAAAATTCAAAAAGCCAGACTGCCTCTTCCTCCAAATGATCACAACACCTCTCCAGCAAGGGTACCGAACTGGATGGCAGATGAGTTGGACAAATTGACAGAAGTACACTTCATAAGATGGGTAATAAAAAACTCCACTGAGCTAAAGAAGCATATTCCAACCTAATGCAAAGAAGTTAAGAACCTTGATAAAAGGTAAGAGGACCTGCTAACTAGAATAACCAGTTTAGAGAGGAATATAAATGAACTGAGGGAGCTGAAAAACACAGCATGTGAACTTCGTGAAGCATACACAAGTATCAATAGCTAAATCAACCAAGTGGAAAAAAGGATATCAGAGTTTGAAGACCAAGTTGCTGAAATTAGGCATGCAAACGAGATCAGAGGAAAAAGAACGAAAATGAATGAACAAAGCTTCCGAGAAATACGGGACTATGTAAAAAGACCAAAGCTATGATTGATTGGAGTGCCTGAAGGAGACAGGAAGAATGTAAACACGCTGGAAAGCACACATCAGGATATTATCCAGGAGAACTTCCCCAACCTAGCAACGTGCAAGTTCAGGAAATAGAGAGAACACCATTAAGATACTCCACGAGAAGATCAACCCCAACACAAATAATCATCAAATTCTCCAAGGTTGAAAGGAAGGAAAAATGTTAAGGGCAGCCAGAGAGAAAGGCCAGGTCACCTACCAAGTGAAGCCCATAAATCTAACAGTGGACCTCTCAGCACAAACCCTACAAGCCAGAAGAGATTGGGGCCAATATTCAACATTTGTAAAGAAAAGAATTTTCAACCCAGAATTTTATATCCAGCCAAACTAAGCTTCATAAGCAAAGGGGAAATAAAATCCTTTCCAGACAAGCAAATGCTGAGGAATTTCATCACCACCAGGCCTGCCTTGCAAGAGCTCCTGAAGGAAGCACTAAATATGGAAAGAAAAAAGCGGTACCAGCCACTGCAAAAACACACCAAAACATAAAGACAAATGACACTATGGAGAAACTGCATTGACTAGTGTGCAAAATCATCAGACAGCATCATGATGACAGGATCAAATTCACACATAAGAATATTAACCTTAAATGTAAATGGGCTAAAAGCCCACCAATTAACAGACTGGCAAATTGGATAAAGAGTCAAGACCCATCAGTGTGCTGTATTCAGGAGACATATCTCATGTGCAAAGACACACATAGGATCAAAATAAAGGGATGGGGGGAAATTTACCAAGAAAATGGAAAGCAAGAAAAAAGCAGGGGTTGCAATCCTAGTCTCTGACAAAACAGACTTTCAACCAACAAAGGTCAAAAAAAGGCAAAGAAGGGCATTACATAATGGTAAAGGGATCAATTCAACAGGAAGAGCTAACTATCCTAAATATATATGCACCCAATGCAGGAGCACGCAGATTCATAAAGCAAGTTCTTACAGACCCACAAAGAGATGTAGACTCCCACACCATAATAGTGGGGAACATTAACATCCCATTGTCAATATTAGACAGATCAATGAGACAGAAAATTAACAAAGATACTCAAGACCTGAACTTAGCACTAGATCAAGTGGACCTAATAGACATCTACAGAACTCTCCACCCCAAATCAACAGAATATGCATTCTTCTCAGTGCCACATGGCATTTATTCTAAAATCGACCACATAATTGGAAGTAAAACACTCCTCAGCAAATGCAAAAGAACTGAAATCATATAAACAGTCTCTCAGACCACAGTACAATCAAATTAGAATTCAGGATTAAGAAACTCACTCAAACCACACAGTTTTATGGAAATTGAATAACCTGCTCCTGAATGACTCCTGGGCAAATAATGAAATTAAGGCAGAAATCAAAAAGTTCTTTGAAACCAATGAGAGCAAAGAGACAAAGTACCAGAATCACTGGGACACAGCTAAAGCAGTGTCAAGAGGGAAATTTATAGTACTAAATGCCCACATCAGAAAGCTAGAAAGATCTCATATTGACAACCTAACATCACAATTAAAAGAGCTAGAGAAGCAAGAGCAAACTAATTCAAAAGTCAGGAGAAGACAAGCAATACTAAGATCAGAGAGGAACTGAAGGAGATAGAGACATGAAAAACCTTCAAAAAAAATCAATGAATCCAAGAGGTGGTTTTTTGAAAAAATTAACAAAATAGACCATTAGCTAGACTAATAAAGAAGAAAAGGGAGAAGAATCAAATAGATACAATAAAAATGATAAAGGGGATATCACCACTGACCCCACAGAAACACAAACTATCATCAGAGAAAACTATAAACACCTTTGTGCAAATAAACTAGAAAATCTAGAAGAAATAGAAAAATTCCTGGACACATACCCTTCCAAGACTAAACCAGGAAGAAGTCAAATCCCTGAATAGACCAGTAACAGGTTTTGAAATTAAGACAGTAATTAATAGCCTACCAACCAAAAAAAGCCCATGACCAGACAGATTCACAGCTGAATTCTACCAGAGGTACAAAGAGGAGCTGGTACTATTCCCTCTGAAACTATTCCAAACAATTGAAAAGGAGAGATTCCTCCATAACTTATTTTATGAAGCCAGCTTTATCCTGATACCAAAACCTGGCAAAGATACAACTAAAGAAGAAAACTTCAGGCCAATATCCCTGTTGAACATCAATGCAAAAATTTTCAGTTAAATACTGGCAAACCGAATACAGCAGCACATCAAAAAACTTACCCACCATGATCAAGTCAGCTTCATCCCTGGGCTGGTTCAACATATGTAAATCAATAAACATAATCCATCACATAAACAGAGCCAAAGACAAAAACTACATGATTATCTCAATAGATTTAGGAAAGGTCTTTGATAAAATTCAACATCCCTTCATGTTAAAAACTCCGAATAAACTAGGTATTGATGGAACATATCTCAAAATAGTAAGAGCTATTTATGACAAACCCACAGTCAATATCACATTGAATGGGCAAAATCTGGAAGCAGTCCTTTTGAAAACTGGTACAAGACAAGGATGCCCTCTCTCATTACCCCTATTCAACATAGTACTGGAATTCTGGCCAGTGCAATCGAGGCAAGAGAAAGAAATAAAGAGTATTCAAATAGGAAGAGAGGAATTCAAATTGTCTCTGTTTGCAGACAATATGATTCTATATTTAGAAAACCCCATCATCTTAGCCAAAAAACTTTTTAAGCTAATAAACAACTTCAGCAAAGTCTCAGGATACAAAATCAACGTGCAGAAATCACAAGCATTCCTTTACACCAACAATAGATGAGCAAAGAGCCAAATCATGAATGAACTCACATTCACAATTGCTACAAAGAGAATAAAATACCTAGGAATACAGCTAACAAGGGATGTGAAGGACATCTTCAAGGAGAACAACAAACCACAGCTCAAGGAAATAAGAGAGGACACAAACACATGAAAAAACATTCCATCCTCATGTACATTACATGTACCCTAAAACTTAAAGTATAATAATAATAATAATAATAATAATACTAAAAGAAAAAAAGTTTTAGGGTACATGTGCACAACGTGCAGGTTTGTTACATATGTATACATGTGCCATGTTGGTATGCTGCACCCATTAACTCGTCATTTAACGTCAGGTATATCTCCTAATGCTATCCCTCCCTGCTCCCCTCACCCCACAACAGGCCCCAGTGTGTGATGTTCCCCTTCCTGTGTCCAAGTGTTCTCATTGTTCAGTTCTCACCTATGAGTGAGAACATGCAGTGTTTGGTTTTTTTGTCCTTGCGATAGTTTGCTGAGAATGATGGTTTCCAGCTTCATCCATGTCCCTACAAAGGTCATGAACTCATCATTTTTTATGGCTGCATAGTATTCCATGGTGTATATGTGCCACATTTTCTTAATCCAGTCTATCATTGTTGGGCATTTGGGTTGGTTCCAAGTCTTTGCTATTGTGAATAGTGCCGCAATAAGCATATGTGTGCATGTGTCCTTATAGCAGCATGATTTATAATCCTCTGAGTATATACCCAGTAATGCAATGGCTGGGTCAAATGGTATTTCTAGTTAAAGATCCCTGAGGAATCACCACACTGTCTTCCACAATGGTTGAACTAGTTTACAGTGCGACCAACAGTGTAAAAGTGTTCCTATTTCTCCACATCCTCTCCAGCACCTGTTGTTTCCTGACTTTTTAATGATCGCCATTCTAACTGGTATGAGATGGTATCTCACTGTGGTTTTGATTTGCATTTCTCTGATGGCCAGTGATGATGAGCATTTTTTCATGTGTCTTTTGGCTGCATAAATGTCTTCTTTTGAGAAGTGTCTGTTCATATCCTTTGCCCACTTTTTGATGGGGTTGTTTGTTTGTTTCTTGTGAATTTGTTTGAGTTCATTGTAGATTCTGGATATTAGCCATTTGTCAGATGCGTAGATTGCAAAAATTTTCTCCCATTCTGTAGGTTGCCTGTTCACTCTGATGGTCATTTCTTTTCCTGTGCAGAAGCTCTTTAGTTTAATTAGATCCCATTTGTCAATTTTGGCTTTTGTTGCCATTGCTTTTGGTGTTTCAGACAGGAAGCCCTTGCCCATGCCTATGCCCTGAATGGTATTGCCTATGTTTTCTTATAGGGTTTTTATGGTTTTAAGTCTAACATTGAAATCTTTAATCCATCTTGAATTAATTTTTGTATAAGGTGTAAGGAAGGGATCCAGTTTCAGCTTTCTACATATGGCTAGCCAGTTTTCCCAGCACCATTTATTAAATAGGGAATCCTTCCCCCATTTCTTGTTTTTGTCAGGGTTGTCAAGGATCAGATAGTTGTAGATATGCGGAATTATTTCTGAGGTCTCTGTTCTGTTCCATTGGTCTGTATCTCTGTTTTGGTACCAGTATCATGCTGTTTTGGTTACTGCAGCCTTGTAGTATAGTTTGAAGTCAGGTAGCGTGATGCCTCCAGCTTTGTTCTTTTGGCTTAGGATTGACTTGGCAATGCAGGCTCTTTTTTGGTTTCCTATGAACTTTAAAGTAGTTTTTTCCGATTCTGTGAAGAAAGTCATTGGTAGCCTGATGGGAATGGCATTGAATCTATAAATTACCTTGGGCAGTATGGCCATTTTCATAACATTGATTCTTCCTACCCATGAGCATGGAATGTTCTTCTATTTGTTTGCATCCTCTTTTATTTCATTGAGCAGTGGTTTGTAGTTCTCCTTGAAGAGGTCCTTCATGTCCATTGTACGTTGGATTCCTAGGTATTTTATTCTCTTTGAAGCAACTGTGAATGGGAGTTCACTCATGATTTGGCTCTCTGTTTGTCTGTTATTGGTGTATAAGAATGCTTGTGATTTTTGCACATTGATTTTGCATCCTGAGACTTTGCTGAAGTTGCCTGTCAGCTTAAGGAGATTTTGGACTGAGACGATGGGGTTTTCTAGATATACAATCATGTCATCTGCAAACAGGGACAATTTGACTTCCTCTTTTCCTAATTGAATACCCTTTATTTCCTTCTCCTGCCTAATTGCCCTGGCCAGAACTTCCAACACTATGTTGAATAGGAGTGGTGAGAGAGGACATCCCTGTCTTGTGCCAGTTTTCAAAGGGAATGTTCCAGTTTTTGCCCATTCAGTATGATATTGGCTGTGGGTTTGTCATAGATAGCTCTTATTATTTTGAGATACGTCCCATCAGCACCTAATTTATTGAGAATTTTTAGAATGAAGGGCTGTATAATTTTGTCAAAGGCCTTTTCTGCATCTATTGAGATCATCATGTGGTTTTTGTCTTTGGTTCTGTTTATATGCTGGATTACATTTATTGATTTGCGTATGTTGAACCAGCCTTGCATCCCAGGGATGAAGCCCACTTGATCATGGTGGATAAGCTTTTTGATGTGCTGCTGGATTCAGTTTGCCAGTATTTTATTGAGGATTTTTGCATCAATGTTCATCAAGGATATTGGTCTAAAATTCTCTTTTTTGGTTGTGTCTCTGCCAAGCTTTGGTATCAGGATGATGCTGGCCTCATAAAATGAGTTAGGGAGGATTCCCTCTTTTTCTATTGATTGGAATAGTTTCAGAAGGAATGGTATCAGCTCCTCCTTATACCTCTGGTAGAATTCGGCTGTGAATCCATCTGGTCCTGGAGTTTTTTTGGTTGGTAAGCTATTAATTATTGCCTCAATTTCAGAGCCTGTTATTGGTCTATTCAGAGATTCAACTTCTTCCTGGTTTAGTCTTGGGAGGTTGTATGTGTCGAGGAATTTATCTATTTCTTCTAGATTTTCTAGTTTATTTGCATAGAGGTGTTTATAGTATTCTCTGATGGTAGTTTGTATTTCTGTGGGATCGGTGGTGATATCCCCTTTATCATTTTTTATTGCATCTATTTGATTATTCTCTCTTTTCTTCTTTATTAGTCTTGTTAGTGGTCTATCAATTTTGTTGATCTTTTCAAAAAACCACGTCCTGGATTCATTGATTTTTTGAAGGGATATTTCCTTCAGTTCTGCTCTGATCTTAGCTTGCCTTCTGCTAGCTTTTGAATGTGTTTGTTCTTGCTTCTCTAGTTCTTTTAATTGTGATGTTAGGGTGCCAATTTTAGATCTTTCCTGCTTTCTCTTCTGGGCATTTAGTGCTGTAAATTTCCCTTTTCCCTCTACACACTGCTTTGAATGTGTCCCAGAGATTCTGGTATGTTGTGTCTTTGTTCTCCTTGGCTTCAAAGAACATCTTTATTTCTGCCTTCATTTCATTATGTACCCAGTATTCATTCAGGAGCAGGTTGTTCAGTTTCCATGTAGTTGAGTGGTTTTGAGTGAATTTCTTAATCCTGAATTCTAGTTTGATTGCACTGTGGTCTGAGATACAGTTTGTTATAATTTCTGTTCTTTTACATTTGCTGAGGAGTGCTTTACTTCCAACTATGTGGTCAATTTTGGATTAGGTGTGGTGTGGTGCAGAAAAGAATGTATATTCTGTTGATTTGGGGTGGAGAGTTCTGTAGATGTCTATTAGGTCTGCTTGGTGCAGAGCTGAGTTCAATTCCTGGATATCCTTGGTAACTTTCTGTCTCGTTGATCTGTCTAATGTTGACAGTAGGGTGTTAAAGTCTCCCCTTATTATTGTGTGGGAGTCTAAGTCTCTTTGTAGGTCTCTAAGGACTTGCTTTATGAATCTGGGTGCTCCTGTATTGGGTGCATATATATTTAGGATAGTTAGCTTTTCTTGTTGAATTGATCCATTTACCATTATGTAATGGCCTTCTTTGTCTCTTTTCTTGGTTTAAAGTCTGTTTTATCAGAGACTAGGATTGCAACCCCTGCCTTTTTTTATTTTCCATTTGCCTGGTAGATCTTCCTCCATCCCTTTATTTTGAGCCTATGTGTGTCTCTGCACATGAGATGGGTCTCCTGAATACAGCACACTGATGGGTCTTGACTCTTTATCCAATTTGCCAGTCTGTGTTTTTTAATTGGAGAATTTAGCCCATTTACATTTAAGGTTAATACTGTTATGTGTGAATTTGATCCTGTCATTATGATGTTAGCTGGTTATTTTGCTCGTTAGTTGGTGCAGTTTCTTCCTAGCCTCGATGGTCTTTACAATTTGGCATGTTTTTGAAGTGCCTGGTTCTGGTTGTTCCTTTCCATGTTTAGTGCTTCCTTCAGGAGCTCTTTTAGGGCGGGCCTGGTGGTGATAAAATCTCTCAGCATTTGCTTGTCTGTAAAGTATTTTATTTCTCCTTCACTTATGAAGCTTAGTTTGGCTGGATATGAAATTCTGGGTTGAAAATTCTTTTCTTTAAGAATGTTGAATATTGGCCCCCACTCTCTTCTGGCTTGTAGAGTTTCTGCCAAGAGATCAGCTGTTAGTCTGATGGGCTTCCCTTTGTGGGTAACCCGACTTTTTCTCTGGCTGCCCTTAACATTTTTTATGATACTATTTTTTATATGTTAATAATTTATCCAGGAATTTTGCTAAATCCTCATATAAGTTTAATAGGTTTTGTGAACATTCTGTTGGATACAAAATCCAATAGAATGATATCATCAGCAAAGAAGGATAATATTGTCTTCTTTCTAATTATGCCTTTTGAAAAATAGCTTAATATTGAAGTCACAATAGGAGGCTCTTATCTTGTTCTGATATAGTGCAAATGATTCCGAAGTTTCATCACTTTAGATGAAGGAAGAAGGAAGTTGGAAAACATTCTGTTTAATGCTTATTTTGCTCTTATTTTGCAAATTGCTGCTTTTCTTTTTTTTAACTTCCCACACAACACTGACTAGCAAATTGCTTATATCATGAAGTCTTTTGTTTTCTGTGCTTTTATTATGTAAAAGTTGCTTTTATTATGAATGTTTACCTAAATGGATATTTTCCTTCATCTACTGCATCTCTTGAGAGATCGTATGTCTTATCGCCTTCATTTTACTAATACAGTGAATAATATTAGACATTCTGATGTTTGGTTATCTAAGAATTCCTGGGATAAAACCTACTTACTGAAACTATTCTTTTGGGCACTGGTGATTTAGTTTCTTAGTATTTAATTTAATATCTTTGCATTTATGTTCACAAGTGAGTTGGTCCATAACTCCCTTTTCTTGGACTGTATTTGCCTGGCTTTGGCATGAAGTCAATTGTAAATTCATGAAATGAATTAGGTAGCTTTTCCAATTTTTCTATTATTTGAAACAAGTTTATGACACGGGGATTATCCATTTATTGAAAGTTTGGTTAAAGTCATCTCTAAAGGTATCTGGGTCTGGTCTTTAGGATAAGGTGACTTTCAATTTCTTTAATTTTTTGGGGGGGTTTATTAGATTTTCTGTGTCTTCTTAAGTCATTTTGGGAAAACTATCCTTTTCTTCTAAGTTTCGATATGTTTGTTCACAGTATCTCTTACTGTTTTTAAAATCTCTATTTTCTTTTAGACTTGTTTTTCTAAATGCATTTTTATTCTACAATTCTAGAAAACAAGGACACATAGGTCCCAAATGTACGTTACACAGTGCCCCCTCCTCACTATTCAGCAATCCAGATCAATATCTTTATTCAATCATTTTGTCTTCTGATTGGTAACTTTATGAGAAAGACTGAGTCCAATTTGATGATTTTTAAAAATTTAACATTAGTTATAATCTTACAGTAATCATGAGGAATTTTTATGTAAATACAGGATTTTTTCACGTGAACAGTACATTCTTGTCAAATTTAGCGAATATTACTGTAATATTCACTATACACCATATAATCAAATTTTTATAAAAAAGTTTCCAGGCAATCTGTTCCTTGTAATTCCTTAGGCCATAAACTACACGGAAATGAGACAAGATCTGCAAAGTGAATGATGACAGTAGTGAGGCAATGCTAAGTGCCAGCTGGGTATGTAAACTAAATAAAGTCTTCAGAAAAAAGTGACATCTTCTTGATTAATATTCCATTACCAGACATAAACATGTTAGAATTAACTATGGGATCTCTTTTGATGAAAAACCACTATAAATGAATATGGCTAAGTTAGCAGGCCTTTAAACAATTTGCTTCTTGGCCAAAACAGATGCTGCTTCCTTTCTCTGATCCCCAGATGCCTATGTTTCAAATGTCTTTATAATAATGAATTGCTTATTTTTTTCTGAGACATTTTATACCATTCTCTACAGTGTCTAGGAAGAAAATTCAAGGCTGCTGTTTTCCACCAATATCGAGAGGATAATCCCTTTATCTTAAAATTATGACATAGATCTCATCAAGATTCCTACTCTGAAAAGTTTCATCAATTATTTTTACTGTTACACTAGGATTATAATGATTAGTAGTACATGATATTGATTTACCTATAATCTCTGAGAATTCCTTCGACCATTCACATACATATTATTTGCTAACACAAGAAAGTAGGTTAGTGAAAATGAGTTACAGAGCCCCTTATATAGCACTTTAGGATATAAACCACCAATACAAAGGCAGAGTTTACATTAGATAAACTCTGAGGTCCCTTTGTGCTCTAATAATCATTGATTTTATGATCCTAACAGGTGATTTGCTTTCAAGTAAAGACTGTGGGGCATCTTACTGTGATTTTTCTATGTGGTGGCTGAAATTTTCATTTATACTGTCACATTATTATTTTAAAGGAAAACGCATTTGAAAATGTTTTCATTCATCTGCTCTACCTTTATTATCTTATGGATACCTTTCTATGATTTTGCCTCCCTTTCTTTGTATCTGTTGCCCTTTTTATTATTATTTTTGCTCTGATTTTGGTGCCTTCTCATCATTGTTCTCTTTTCTATTGTTTTTACCTTTTGTTTTGGTGGCTTTCCTTGGAAAAAAGTGGAAAAGCATTATTTGATTTTACTAGTACTTGTAAGATGCATCTTCCTAGATAGGTTCATAGAATGGTATACCGTAGGTAAAAAGTGGAAAAAAAAAAGTCTAATTTGTGTGTTCTTTCTAAGAGTGGTTCAGTCCTATCTCTGCTGCATAATATCGGTCAGAGTATTTAATTTGATCTGATAGGGTAATATTAATTGTTACTTTCTAGAGTCATTGAGAAGAATAAATAAGTTAACATGCGTACTTATTTGCCATTAAGGCTAGGTTTTAATTAGTTGTCTGTACAAAATTCCCAGTTTCTTGAGTTAGCACAGTGAACTGAGAGTCTTTCATGTGAACACCTATGTTGATTCATTCAGTCAGAAGCAAAATTGTATATTTCTACTCCTGTTCTAAAACCCTTGGAATTTATTTTTGCATGTATTTTCTAGTGTTTTTAAATTTTTTCTAATATAAATAAATCTTTGCCATCTCTTTAGGGACTGAACCTTCCCTTTCAAGTTTGATTTTCCAAGTGGTCCTCTGAGGAATGTTGGCTCAGTTTTGGTATGGAGGGTCTGGCTCAGTTTTGGTATGGAGGCTATGACAGGTAGAGAAATAGGGCTCCAAGAGAAATGGTGTTTCTTTGCAAGTCATGACCTCCAGTGAGATCAGTACCTGTCTTCTAGCTGAGAGGACCCATTTCATAAGATGAAGCTAGGGAGGCCTCATGGGTTTCAGGGCTTAGAGGTAAATTCAGTCTTCTATACTCAACAAAATTTTGTAATTCTATTTCTCAGGGTTCCAATTTTTCCAGTCAATACCCTAACTTTCACAACCTTCAAACAAGAGATGCTCTGAGGTTGAGAATTAAACCTTCATTGCAGTGTATGTGTGCTAAGGTTTGCCTCTGCCTGTGCTTTTTGACTACATCAACGCTGTGGATGTAAGACATAGATTTCTGAGGACGTTCACATAAACGTCCCAATTCTCTGATCATTCTTGGGACTGAGAATTAAAAACCCGGATTCTATAATTTTCATTGTAATGTTAAGTGGGCTTTTTTATAAAAAGACCACCCCATCCCACAGTCCTGTATTTTACCTGCTATACATATTATATAAAGGCAGTCACCACTTAATCCACCAACGCCACAACTTCAATTGGCATTTTATTCAAGGTGAACACAGGTAAATTTAAGTTTCCTTAGATTATCAGTATTTGTATCCTTTAATGCTACCCAGATTGACATTACTCAAAACCAACTAGGTCAAATATTAACAATCAGACATTCTTGACCTTGAAAACCTGTTGCCCACAACCGTTTCTAGTACCAAATACTATATGTTAAAGTTCAGTTACAGATAATGGAAACCTCTCTGGCTAGTTTGAAAAAAAGAACAAATATAGGAAATTACATGTTTCCAAAACAGTTGGTTCAACTAGGAAAATAAACTGTGAGATGGGCTTCTGGGAAAATCTCCAGAACACTACAGTGTTGGCCTGCTCCCTCTTTTTATGGTCAACAAGCTGAGGTATCAGGAAACTGCTGCCACTACTATTGCTTCAGGACCTCACTGTTGCAACCATGATTCAAGCCAGCAAATCAATGCCCAATGATCGGCTTGCAATATGCATAAACACAGGCAAATGGGCACTGGGCAGAAAGCACAAACACTTCCATAATTGTGCTAGTAGGCAGGAGGAGCAGAAGTGTGGCCTCCACTCTTCACTTCCACTTTCTGACTTTCAGTAATGTACCTTCAGATTATGTCCGTCTGAATATATTTATGCCTGTCACATTTTTTATAACCAATATTGAACAATAGACCAAAGTTTATTTAACCACTCCCATAAGGAGGGACACTTAGGTTGTTTGTATTTTTTTGTTAATATAAATAATGCTGAAATGAACATATTTGTATGAGCCTTCTTAGCCACACATTAAATGTTTGTAGCCAGCATGGAAATGAAGTAGTAGAATTTCTAAATCATAGGGCATGCTCATTTTCAACTGGAATAGATAATACCAAATCATTAAATTGCCTTCCTAGGCTACTGTTCCAATTTACTTTTTATCCATAATGTTTAGCAATATCTACTTCTACAAATCCTTAACAATAGTTGAAATTATCAAAAGTTTTAAAATTTGCTAATTTTGAGAGTAAAAAGTTGGCCTTATTTAAATTTTCATACACCCAATTATAAGTGAGATTGAGCATCTTTTTAATTTAATGTTTTTATTTCACCTGTGAATTACCCAATTTATGACCTATGCTCCTTATCTTTTATTCATTTTACTTTTCTTTTCCTTTTGATTTGATTTGCCATTAATTATTTATGACTTTTAATTTTTATGACTTGTTTAGGCAGGCCTATCTTCCCTGACGTCATAAACATAGTCTTCTGTATTTCCTTGTTTTATTTTTGTAGCTTTGATTTTTATGTTTTGGTTTTTAATTCATTATAGTTTTTTGAATGCTGTGAGGTGGTCTAATCTTACCCGCTTATTACAGTAATTAGCCTCTTATCTCGATATCATTTATTGAATAGTCCATGCTGACTTCAAATGCTAATTTTCTCTTGAATTAAACTTTTATATATTATGAATCTTTTTCTTGCTTTCTAATTGATTCCACTGAATAATTCTGTAAAATCACAACCCTATAGTAATTTGTATAGCTTTAAAATATATTTTTATGTCTTATTATTAGTCTTTTCAAAATTATATTAGCTATCTTATTCTTTCATAAGAATTTCTTATTTAACCTTAGCATTTCCATAATATATTATTTTTGGCTTTTGATTAGGGTTGCATGGACTTACAGATTAATCTATATATTTATAACATTGCATCCGTAAATTAGTATAGCTCTCCCAAGACTTTTAGTACGGTTTTAATTTTAGCTCAAAAAAGATTTAAATTTCATGTTAGTTTTTATGTTGGTCAAAGTAAGTTATTCTAGCTAAAACAGTTAGATTTTCTCGCTCACATCACAGTGCAGTGTGGTCCAGGCTGAATGGTGTTAGGCTTCACCCAGTCATTCTGGGAGTTTGGACTGACGCTCTGCTATGATCAACAAGAGACTCCCAAGTTGTCCTGTGTCTTATTATCTAGCAGGAAAACAGAACAGAGAGAGCGTGTGTGAAGAATAATTCAGGACACTTTATGAAATTGTATACTAATTGTATACATAATTGGAAATTATACAATTTCCAGCCTTGGAAATTGTATACATAACTGTTGTCTACATTCAGAACTTGCCTCACTTTGCTGGCAGAGAGGCAAGGAAGGTAGTTTTCATGTAAGTCCAGGAGGAAAGTAAAATGATTTTGGTGAACTCATAAAATTGTCTCCTCAGCCTACTGATAAAGTCCAAGATAATCAACTGAGAAACGATTAAAACTAGCGAGAGCTCAGTAAGGTAATTGAAACCAAGATTAGCTTACAAAAAGAACTCATCCATTTTACATATTAGTAATGACCAATAAGAAAATATAATAGCTGATATGACAAAGAATTTTCTTCCTGTGGTATTATATTGTTTCCAAATAGTAAATGTTTTGGCTTTTCCTTTCTAATTTTTTGAACATGTATGTTTATTTTCAATTTTACATTTAAATACTGGAATATCTCATGATATTGAATTGAATAGGACGCACTCTCTTATTTGTGATAATAAAATTGCAATTGGTTAAAAAAAATTCCTGGAATGCCGCTGGCTGGATTTCTGAAATGTTTGTCTTGATGAAACTTCTTGCTTCATAATGAAAGACATGATTTTGAGATCATGCTGCTGATAATGCCACTCTACTTGTGTGACTCTGTGCTTTCTCTTTCCAAAGAGACAATTTTCTTATTTTTAATGTGCATTCAACATGTGTTTCTAGAAATTAAGTTTTTATTTTGTTATGGTTTTAAAATACAACAGTTAAATACGAGTCGTAGTGATAATTTAAATACAGACAGGTTAATTTAGTATTCCCATCAGAATTGTTTCTGTATTTCAGTTGCCCACATGGCCTATAGGCTACCAAACTGTATTGTAGAAATTATTTGATTTGTTATTACTTTTTATTGTTGGTGTAAATAGTAAAATTTGCATGCAAGGAATGCAGAGTTCAAGCTCTTCTTTCACCATTTGTAATTTACTGAGCCAGCTACTTAACTTTTCTTGCCTTGATTCAATTTCTGAAGAGACTAAAAATGTTTTTCCTAACTAAATGATGTGAGCTGAACAGATGTCTTTCTGTCCCAGTTTTTATGGCAAACTCATTTTTCCGCAATTTTTTATTGCCAATTTTAGTACTGATAACTTCCCAAATTATGCCTCCAGGACTGGTCTCCTTACAGAGATCCCACTGAGGTTTCCGCATTCCTGCTGAAAGCTCCATTTGAATGAAAGCTAAACACTTCAAATATACTTTGTCTCTTACCTCAGCTTTAATCTTCTTTCTGTGTTCTCAATCTGTATATACAGCATTACAATTTGCTCTGTTGTTCAAGAGGGAAAACTTGGAGTTATCCATGGCTTGGCCTCCACACTTCCTCCACTTCTAATTACTCATCCCAGCTCGAAAAATGTGTAGTCTGATGTTCCATTCCATCCCAACAACCACCGAGTGAAAAAAGACATCTCATCTGTCACTGGATCTACTGCAATAGCTTCCTAACTTTCTTCCCTGCTACCTTTATTGCTGCTAGCATTGCTTTGCAGTCTTACTAAGTCTACAGAAGTAAACATGCTACCTGCTTCAAACCCTTTGATTGGTCTCCATTGCCCCCATCTGAAAGTCATGTGCTTATACTTTCATTCAACAATATTGAGACCCTGATGGGTGCCTGGTACCATGTGGGGGCTCCTACTTTCCTCTCTTTGGCATGTGAGATCTCTGATAATCTGACCCCTTTTGAACACCATCTCTGGACACTCCTCTCCTCTCACTCCAAATTCCTTCCACACAAAACTGCATTTTAAAAAATTGATAAACTCGGGCATGGTGGCTCACGCATGTAATTCCAGCACATTGGGAGGCCAAGGCGGGTGGATCACCTGAGGTCAGGAGTTCGAGACCAGCCTGACCAACATGGAGAAACCCCCATCTCTACTAAAAATACAAAATTAGCCAGGCGTAGTGGCACATGCCTGTGATCCCAGCTAATCGGGAGGCTGAGGCAGGAGAATCGCTTGAACCTGGGAGGCAGAGGTTACAGTGAGCTGAGATTGTGCAATTGCACTCCAGCCTGGGCAACAAGAGTGAAACTCTGTCTCAAAAAAAAAAAAAAAAAAAAAAATTGATAAAATCTAATTTTTGAGCAATTTTAAGTTTACAGAAAAATTTAAGTGCAGAGCATGCCCACATACACCCTCAGACGGTTTCCCCATTATAAACATTTTGCATTAATGTGGCTTATCCATTACAATTGATGAGCTGATATTGATACATCATTATTAACTAAAATGTTCACAATAGGGTTCACTCTTTATATTGTACATTCTGTGGGGTTTGACTAATGTTTGATGACTAGTATATTAGTCTGTTTTCATTCTGCAGAGAAAGACATACCTGACACTGGGTAATTTATAAAGAAAAGGAGGTTGAATGGACTCACAGTTCCATGTGGCTGAGAAGGCCTCACAATCACGGCAGAAGGTGAAAAACACATCTTACATGACAGCAGACAAGAGAGAATGAGAACCAAGCAAAAGGGGTTTCCCCTTATAAAACCGTCAGATCTTGTGAGACTTATTCACTACCATGAGAACAGTATGGGGGAAAACACCCCATAATTCAATTACCTCCTACCTGGTCCCTCCTAGAACACGGAATTATGGGAGCTAAAATTCAAGATGAGATTTGGGTGGGGACACAGCCAAACCATATCAACTAGTATCCACCATTATAGTATCACACAGAGTTATCTTATCACCTTACAAACTCCCTGTGCTTAACTATTTCCTTCCTTTCTCTAAAAACCTGCCAACCACTGATCTTTTTATTGTCTCCATAGTTTTGTCTTTTTTGGAATATCATACAGTTGGAATCGTACAGTATGTAGTCTTTTTCATATTGGCTTCTTTCACTTAGCCATATACATTTAAGTTTTCTCCATGTCTTTTTATGGCTTGTTAGCTTCTTTCTTTTTCTTGCTGAATAATCTTCCATTGTATGCCTGTATGTACCAGTTTGTTAATTTATTCATCTGTTGAAGGACATTTTGGTTGCTTTCAGGTTTGGAATAAAGCTGCTATAAACAATTATGCACAGATATTTGTGTGGAACTGTGTTAGTCTGTTTTCACATTGCTATAAAGAAATACCTGAGAATAGGTAATTTATAAAGAAAAGAGGTTTATTGGCTCACAGTTCTGCAGGCTGTATGGGAAACATGATGCTGGCACCTGCTTGGCTTTTGGGGAGGCCTCAGAAAACGGATAATTATGGCAGAAGGAGAATGGGGAGCAGGCATTTCACATGGCAGGAGCAGGAGCAACATAGAATGAGGGATGGAGGAGAGGCTACACATTTTTAAACAACCAGATCTCATGAGAACTTGCTCACTATCCACCATCATGAAGACAGTACCCAGGAGGATGACGCTAAACCATTCTTGAGAAATCTGCTCCCGTGATCCAATCACCTCCCACTAGGCCTCACCTCCAACACTAGGGATTACAATTTGACATGAGATTAGATGGGAACGTAGATCCGAACTGTATCAGGAACTATTACACTTTCCATGCCTTTGTACTTCTGAACTTCCTTCTTCTTGAAATGTCATTCCCCCTTTTAACCCTTTGCCAAGTCTAATTTCATAACTTAAATTTAGTTTAGCAAATACTTATTGAATAAATTCTACAAGTCAGGTGCTTCTATTAAATAGTTAGGAAACAATTGGGAACCAGATAAGCATAGTCTAGTTCTATTTGCAGAGATAGACAATTAATAAGCGGTTACAGTGGAGTATGTTAGTGCTATGATGCAGCTGGAACTTAAAAGAAGTTGCTAACCCATCTTTGGAGATTGAGAGAGACTTTCAAAGGAAATCTGACTGATCCTTCAGGACCCAAGTCCTAATATCTGCTACTGAATAAAACCCTCAGACTTGCCCTGTGCTGTTTGCAACCACTCTTCCATCATCCTTTATGTTTTTTTTTTTCACTTCCTTTCTGTATCAATTTCTTTGACCAATCTTTTTGTCTTCTGATCCCAAGACTTGATGTATTTCCCTACTCATGTGATCTAAGCATCCTTACTCAGTCTGTATTTTAGTAAGTATCGCATTGTAACATTGTAGTGTAACAAACTGTTGTGATAATAAACTTGTGTGTCTCTTTTACCAAATTGTAAGTGCCCTGAGAGCAAGGAGGGGATTTTATTTTGCTCATTTTGTATCCCCAGAGTCTAGTACTTTGTTTGGCATGTAGTGTCTGCTAAGTATTTGATAAATAAAAAACATTAATAAAGATTACCAAAAACATATGTAAAATACAAAACATTATATGTGAATTTTTCAAGTAGTGGTAATATAGGGTACTTTTGAAAAACTAGTATCTATTATATATTGCCACTCCTGCCTGAGTTTAAACTAAAACCAGGAAAACATGTGTTCTTTTGCGGTTTTCTACGAACACAAAATTTCGTGAACATTTCTCTTAGAGGAAACTTGTAGGATTTGAATTCCAACCAAATATGAACAGTTAAAAAGAGATTCAAAATAAGACTTACACGTGCAAAGACATTTTATCATAACTTCTATGCCAGAACACAGATTTTATTTATAAAATAGCTTAGTTTTCAAAAATATGGATTCTGAGATTATTTTGACAGCATCATATTTTGTAATGGAATCATTAAAACAGAGCTGAGATACTATTTCTCTCTTTAAAAACTACTATCGTGTTTATATGCTCTGTCAAGTTTCAGTGTTTTCATTCTCATCTTTTCCTTTTCATATATTTTTATTTTCTGTGTTGCTTATATTCTAATTATTTTTTCCCAAAACGTGTTCAATTGTCTCTTTTATATTGAGTGGAAAACACAAATGAAATATGGCTTTTTATTGATTAGTACATGCAGTTTTTGAAAGGCATTTGGAGACTGTATGAAAGAATACATTTCATATAACTACCTAACACCATTTTCAGATTTACTATCAATAAGTAAATTAATGAATGTTTCCTTATATGAAGATCACTCAGTGTATAAATCTGATTTCTCAAATCTGTGTATGAGCTTCTGAAAATTAAGAAAAATAAAACAAACAAAAATAGACAAAAGCAAAACCACAAAATGCTGTGCCTGCCTAGTCATCATATATGGAATTCTACCTCTACACATGCCCTACCCATATACCCAGGGCATCCACGCACCCTCTTGGTGTCCTACTCACATGACAGAAATTAAAAGAAAATAACAGAAGAAAAGATACAGTTCACGAAAAATAATGATTTGTAAAATTTAATTTCTCCCTAAAAGAATGAGTAATTATAAAATCCAAAAAATAGGAACAGAACACCATAAAAGAGAAATACCTGAAGAAGTAGAAGTCTTTATAATTAAGTGCACAAAAACATTAAAAAAATTTTTGGAAGATAAGTTTGAAGACATTTCAGAGAATATAGAACAGAAAGGTAAGGGGATGAAAAACATAAAGTCCAGTTTTTAAAAATGGGGAATTGGTACCTCCAAATAGTACCAATTTGAAGAATGGTATAAAAATACCTCTATTCCCAAACATCTTTCTCAAGAAGCTACTACAGATATTGTTTCACTAAAACAGGAGACCAAATCAAGACAGACGAATATATGGAATCTGGGAAACAGAAAAACTCAAGAATCAGTGAGACATAAAGGGATTTTTCAGGATATAGCTTAGCTAAAGGGTAATCCCACATAACATAAATGCCTCAGATCTTCAGAGTAACTAGTCCATGTAAAATCAGGACAGAGAGACCCAAAAGGGACTTTATAAGAAAAAAAGAAGCTGAGATAATCAATTACTTAATGCATATGGCTATTTTGAGAAGAGGTATACAATCCAATCCTTTCATGATTTTGGAAGAATTAGTACTACAGTCTCAGCATTCAGTCAGGGAAACAACCACAATGAGTGTTCAAGGATAATTATAGGCTTAAGTTGTACATAGTGTAGAAGCTGGGACTGTGAAGTGTGGAAGGGGCAATAGGAGAATTAGAGAATTAAACCACTAGCCAGCCCCCCGAAAGCCCTGGCACAGGTGGATAAGTTGGAGCTTGTAGGAAAATCTGAGAAGCCAAGTATGTCCAGCTGCCGAAAGGGATTTCCCAGAGGGGAGCTTGTGGAGAGGTCTATGGGAAGCTCTTACTTCTGTATATCTGACAGTGGGCTCGAAGTCACTGTTGGTCAGCAGAGCCAGGGTCCAGAAGAACTGGACAGGGAGTGGAGGAGAGCAAGCGGGAGGCACCTCTGTATTTGTGATATGGTTTAGCTCTATGTCCCCCACCCAAATCTCATAGTTGAATTGTAATACCCAATGGTGCGGGAGGGATCTGGTGGGAGGTGATTGAATTATGAGGGCAGATTTCCCCCTTGCTGTTCTTGTGATAGTGAGTGAGTTCTCATAAGATCTGATGGTTTGAAAGTGTGCAGCACTTCCTGCTTTGCTCTTTCTCTTTCCTCCACCATGTGAAGAAGGTGCTTGCTTCCCTTTTGCCTTTCCACCATGATTGCAAGTGTTCCAAGGCTTCCTCAACCATGCCTCTTGTACAGCCTGCAGGACTGTGAGTCAATTAAATGTCTTTTCTTCATAAATTACCTAGTGTCAGGTATGTCTTTTTGGCAGTATGAGAATGGACTAATAAAATTTGTCATAATTCTGTCCATAAAAATATACTTGGAAAGCTTATTCAGTGCTTCATCTCCACCTCCAAAATCTTGCACAAATTTCCGTTTTGGCCCATTCTAACTTGGAACTATACAGAAAAATGAATTGTGGGAAACATTTCCCAAATTAAGTAAGTTAACAACAGAGCAATTCAACATAAGTAGATATCAGAGGCTAAAATAGCAAATTAAACAAACAAACAAAAACCAATTCTAGGGAACTGTTGACTCCAGGGTAAGAAACTTCTGCATGAGAAACAAATACAGCATTTCCCATGGCTCATCTCTGAATAATATTAACATCATCATCATAAAACTATCTGGCATATTGATGTAGCTGCAAATCATAGCCACATTGAATGGATGGGAAGAAGGAGAATATTTGTGTGGGGAATCACTCTGTCCCCCAGGCTGGAGTGCAGTGGCATGACCTCAACTCACTGCAACCTCCGCCTCCTGGGTTCAAGCGATTCTCCTACCTCAGCCTCCCGAGTAGCTGGGATTACAGACACCTGCCACCACACCTGGCTAATTTTTTTAATTTTTAGTAGAGATGGCTTTCACCATGTTGGTTAGGCTGGTCTCAAACTCCTGACCTCAGGTGATCCACCTGCATTGGTCTCCCAAAGTGCTGGGATTACAGGCATGATCCAGCACCCAAATCAGGGAAGGAAATATCATAAGAAAAATAGGGACTGAGAAAACGTCATAGGCAGTAAAACATTTCTGATTCCTTAGGGTAAAATTACAATAAATGGGTACCATTAAACTCTTAGTGGAAACAGCAATTTCCTCCAACCTATGAGTAAAATCCATTTGCAAATCACTAGTGAGAATTTACTTACTTTGTAAAACAATAGCAGAGTACATGCACAATTATAATAATTTTAAAATGCATTTTTGTGATCCTATTAATAGCTCATCCCAAAAAAATTGAAACATGAATTACTTAATTGCCTTAGAGCAGTAGCTAGCTCACAATTAGCAACACATTGGTTTGTGCTGTTTGCAATTTTGAGGGTGACTTGTTAACTAATACTGAACGTACTATGTTTTAATTAAACTTAACTAATCACTTAAGAAAATCCTCTTAGTGAGAATTTCAGGTATGCAAACAAGTTCTTGAGAAGTCTGTTATTGAAATAACTACTGGTTTAGTCCAATTGGTAGTGATATTTGAGCTTAATATTTTTTGGATAAATGCATTAACTAATCAAATAATTGGTCTAACATGAGTGGAATCTAATGTTTAAAGTTTTCAAGGAAACTGTAAAAAAGGATACAGGATTAGAACATACTCTAAGACAGGAGTATTTCCATATAAGGGCACTTAATCCAGTGAGCAGGAACAAGGTACTATAATACCATTCTGTAACTTCCTCATAATCAATACGTTGATTGATGAACAATTTCAGATTGTTATCTATGAATTTTGAGTCAATGTGAGCATTTTAGGGATTCTAGTCATTAGGTTAAACATTCTTAGAAAGACAGGATATATTTGGACACTGACAAGTTTCAATTCTTGCTTGAGAATCTTTAAGATTTTATGTGATAAGAGTGTGGACCATTAAATTCCACTGAGTTACACTCTTGTACTTTTTAAGTCAGGGTAAAACAGTGAGCTAATCTGTAGATGGTAGAGGAGAGACAGAGAGAGAGAATGAAATAAACATTCAGAGAGAACTAGAGTATACAAAGAAAAAGAAAAAATGGCTGCTTGACTCTGAAGGATTTCCAGTTTTTTGTCCTACTTTAAGAAGCGATACTGTGTGTCCTGCTCTTGAATTCCATACGTAGGCAAATATCTTTACAATATATCCCACCCCAGCAACACCTCAGTGATCCACTGTCCCGATTTGCTCAGAACCTTCCCAGTTCTAGCAATGAAAGTCCCACATTCTTGGAAATCCTTCAGTCCCAGATAAATATGGACTGACAGTCACCGTAATCTGCATATTTTCCTCGTAAGCTAATGTGATATGGGTTTTGGAAAATACCAACCAGGAAAGCCTTGATTAAGACAGACGCTTTTAAGTTACATGCAACTGATGAAGGCCTTTTGCGTCCAAAACCTCTGTTACACATCTTACCTGCTGCTTGGTTCTATTATTTACAACTCAGCAAATGATGAAGCATGAGCAGGAGAGTTGGCATAAGCAGAGATGAGTTAATTTTAACTAAATCAGGCAGTTACTTCAGATTGGAGTGATCTGTGTTGAAAGGAATTACTCCCAAAAAACATATTCATTAAAATATGTTGCAATTTTTAATGTCCTCTGAGTTACATTTGGTCACAAAGTAGTTTTAAGACAGCAAATTTTACCAAGCAATTCACTGTACTGAAATAATGCTCTTTCCTTTCACACACCTATAATAAAGTAAATGTTTTGCTCTTAATTATATATATATATATTATATATATAATATATAATATATATATATAATATATATATAATATATAATATATATATAATATATATATAATATATATATTATATATATATATACTTAATCAGGGACGTTATACTTCATAAATTGATTTGCTGCCTTTGAAATTGTTTGGCTGTCAATATTTGCAGCTGATACAGTTAAATGACTGCATGATCTGCAAAAGAGGTCAATGAATGCAAGGGAGGTCAATGCCATAAAAAAGCTGAGGAGATGATTACTTAAGAAATGACAGCAGCAACAGTCTGAGCAGCAACACAGAGACCACCCAGAGAGGCTGCCTGTCAGCTGTGGCTGCCCCCACCCACACCCAGTTTGAGAAAAGAAATGATGACAGCCTAGTGAAGAGGCACAACTCTTACCAATAAAAAAGACTGTCAGCAGCTTTGCAGATGGGCTCAGAAAAGCCTCTTAGCCTATAACACACTTATCTCTCCTCAAATATCCCTAGCTTTCTACATATTTATTAGGGCCATCAGTAAATGAAGAGCAGGGGAGTATGAAAAAAATATGACTCATGGGGATGTCTTGTATCCATACAGCTCTTCAATGAACATTTTCTTTGACCCTCTTAACAAAATGTTGGAGAGGCAAGGCAGTGGAATTATAATTATTCTATTTTGCAGATCAGAAATAAGGAGAGTTCTGTGGTCTTGCTCAACTGGTTAATACCACTATGTTATTACTATTAGCTAATGTTTATTGAGCAATATGTATTAGACACTGTGTGAGCTAAGTACTTTAAATGGATCATTTCATTTGCCCTCAAAGAACCATTTGGGGTAGATAATATTATTTTTCTTTCTTCTTTTATTTTTATTTTTTTTTTTGAGATGGAGTCTCACTCTGTCGCCCAGGCTGGAGTGCAGTGGCTCCATCTCGTCTCACTGCAAGCTCCGCCTCCTGGGTTCACACCATTTTCCTGCCTCAGCCTCCAGAGTAGTTGGGACTACAGGCGCCCACCACCACGCGCGGCTAATTTTTTTTTGTATTTTTCGTAGAGATGGGGTTTCACTGTGTTAGCCAGGATGGTCTCGATCTCCTGACCTCGTGATCCGCCCACCTCGGCCTCTCAAAGTGCTGGGATTGCAGGCGTGAGCCACTGCACCTGGCCAATATTATTTTTCTTAATGTACGGATGAGAAGACTTTGGCTCAGGGGGTTATAACAAGATGTCAAAGAAGTAGAGCCAAAATCCAAGCCTGGAGTCTAGAATCCATACTCTCCACCTTGTTTTGACTCTGTAATATAAATCAATACTTTTGAATGCCTATTGCTTGAGTTATTTTGCATTTTGGGAATTTTGCCATCAATGTTTTAGACTCTTGTCTATAAGCTTAGGCTAATTATTTGAACATTTATCTAACAGATTTATTTAGTGCTTAATATGTGCCAGGCATGGGTATAGATTTTGAGAAAATACTCACTAAAACACCGGCCACCTTTTCTATGTAAAGATAGTTAAATTCTTTGCTTTCCTTTAATCTTTCTTAATTAGTTATACAAGGATGCTATTTTTCTTCCTACATGGGAACTCCCATATACACGTTGTGGAGCAATAGTAGGAATCATCAGGCTTAAGAAACATTGGCAAGAGGTTTGGAGTTCAGAGACTTTTAATAAATATGCATAAAACAAAGAGAAAGGACTTGCCAGACAGTAAAATGAACAGTGTTAGGGAGAACACTTATCCTCCACTGCCCGTACTACTCTGTGGAAGAAATCTCCATGAGCGTAACTCTTTTGACCTCTCTTTGGCCCGTTTTTCATTCTTCTCCAGATCTGAGTTTTGTAGAAGGAATTGGAAGTATAGGGCTTAATCTCTTCTGTATTTAGCTGGGAGTCTTGTGGCCTGTAGAGAGGTTGCATATGTGTCACACCCTCTCTGCAGGTGTGGCATGTTCTGGGGAGGACTGCTGATGTCCTGTGCTATCTGTGAATAGTAAGTAAGCTTGCATATTCAGCGATGAAGTGTCATAAACCCATTAGGCTTAAAGCTGATGCTCATTCTCTAATGAGTGGTGTCTCTAGTGAGGGAGCAAACTGACAGACAATTCTGATATATGATTTATAATTCCAGAGAAGATATAAATCCATTGATTCTTCTCTGCCAATTGTTTGGATTTAATAAGAAGTAACTCTTTATCTTCCAAATTCAGACAAAATTCAGAAAAACAAGCAGGAGTGAGAGATTAAAGTAACTTTTTAATCATAAGCACTAGAGATACCACTCTATTAATTTCCAGCATGCAATATGTACATTCCAAGTCCTTAAAAGCTGCCCAGTAAATGTTTGTTCACACAGAAAAGAATGGGATTCAGGTCTCATTTGTAATGTGAAGTGTTTGTTTCAATAATTTCTCAAACTCCAATTCGTATCATCCTGAGATTCTAATGAGAGATGAATGGGGTTAAAAAAATGCAAGGAGGACTTCTACTTCCAGTAAAGATAGAGTAACAGGGACTGAATTAAATGATCTACCTTAAACAAGTAGAAAACTGGTCAATATACATGAAAGAAAAAGTTTTCAGACCTTGGACAATAGGTAATTACACAAGATGATCCCTACAATTGCACCAGCTTATAGGCTACAAGTTTGAGATAGTCTATTAGTTAGGGTTCTCCAGAGAACCAGAACCAAGAGAATGTATATACATATATAGAAAGAGATTTATTATAAGGAATTGGCTTGTGCAATTCTGGAGGCTGGGAAGTTCAAAATCTGTAGCCTGCAGACTGGAGACCCGGCACAGCTGATAGTGAAGATGCAGTCCAAAAGCAATTCGCTGGAGAATTTCCTCTTGCTTAGGCAGGCCAGGCTTTTTGTTCTATTCAGGCCTTCAACTGATTGGCCTTCTATTCCGGCCTTCAACACTTTGTGGAGGACAATCAGCTTTACTCAAAGTTCAACCATTTAGACGATAATCTCATCCCAAAGTCTTCAAGAAAAAGACCCAAATGCAACTTTCAGCAAACAAATGCTGAGAGAATTCATTGCTATGGAGAATGTTAAAGGACGTTCTTTAGGAAGTAAGATTATTATATAGACATTTGGATCTAAACATGGAAAAGAATAGTGCCAGAAACAGTAAATATATGGGTAAAAACATTTTTTACCCTTTTTAATTTCTTTAAAGAATATTGACTATTTAAAGTAAAAGTAATAACAATTTATCATAGAATTAACAGCACATATGGAGGTAAAATGCATGACAACAATAGCATAAAGACCAGGAGGGGGAAGGGAAAGTGTAGTATTGTCAGATTCTTATACTATGTGTAAATGAGCATAATATTTGAAAGCAGATTTTGATAAGTTAAAGATGTATTTTTTTTTTTTTGCTCTTTTTAATTTTTTTTTATTATTATACTTTAAGTTTTAGGGTACATGTGCACAATGTGCAGGTTAGTTACATATGTATACATGTGGCATGCTGGTGCGCTGCACCCACTAACTTGTCATCTAGCATTAGGTATATCTCCCAGTGCTATCCCTCCCCCCTGCCCCCACCCCACAACAGTCTCCAGAGTGTGATGTTCCCCTTCCTGTGTCCATGTGTTCTCATTGTTCAATTCCCACCTATGAGTGAGAATATGCAGTGTTTGGTTTTTTGTTCTTGCGATAGTTTACTGAGAATGATGATTTCCAATTTCATCCATGTCCCTACAAAGGACATGAACTCATCATTTTTTATGGCTGCATAGCATTCCATGGTGTATATGTGCCACATTTTCTTAATCCAGTCTATCATTGTTGGACATTTGGCTTGGTTCCAAGTCTTTACTATTGTGAATAGTGCCACAATAAACATATGTGTGCATGTGTCTTTATAGCAGCATGATTTATAGTCCTTTGGGTATATACCCAGTAATGGGATGGCTGGGTCAAATGGTATTTCTAGTTCTAGATCCCTGAGGAATCGCCACACTGACTTCCACAATGGTTGAACTAGTTTACAGTCCCACCAACAGTGTAAAAGTGTTCCTATTTCTCCACATCCTCTCCAGCACCTGTTGTTTCCTGACTTTTTAATGATTGCCATTCTAACTGGTGTGAGATGATATCTCACTGTGGTTTTGATTTGCATTTCTGTGATGGCCAGTGATGGTGAGCATTTTTTCATGTGTTTTTTGGCTGCATAAATGTCTTCTTTTGAGAAGTGTCTGTTGATATCCTTCGCCCACTTTTTGATGGTGTTGTTTGTTTTTTTCTTGTAAATTTGTTTGAGTTCATTGTAGATTCTGGATATTAGCCCTTTGTCAGAAGAGTAGGTTGCGAAAATTTTCTCCCATTTTGTGGGTTGCCTGTTCACTCTGATGGTAGTTTCTTTTCCTGTGCAGAAGCTCTTTAGTTTAATTAGATCCCATTTGTCAATTTTATGTTTAAACCTGATTGCAACTACTAAAACCAGCCAAACAAACAAACTTCTATAGCTAATAGAACAATAGAAAAGAAAACAAAATAGAATCTTTTTTTTCCTTCCAACTTTTAAGTTCAGGGGTACATGTGCGAGTTTGTTACATGGGTAAATTGCACATCACTGAGGTGTGGTATACAAATGATATCATCACCCAAGTAGTGAGTACAGTACCTGATAGGGTAGGTTTTTTTTTTAAAATTTTTATTATTTTTTTAGACAGAGTGAGACTCTGTCACCTAGGCTAGAATACAGTGACTTGATCTTGGCTCATTGCAACCTCTACCTCCTGGGTTCAAGGGATTCTCCTGCTTCACCCTCCCAAATAGCTGGGATTACAGGTATACACCACCATGCTCAGCTAATTTTTTTTTTGTATTTTTAGTAGAAATAAGGTTTCACCATGTTAGCCAGATTGGTCTCAAACTACTGACTTCAAGTGATCCGCCTGCCTCTGCCTCCTAGAGTGCTGGGATTACAGACGTGGACCACTGCACCCAGCCCTGATAGGTAATTTTTTGATGCTTACTCTCTTCCCACCTTTCACCCTCAAGTAAACCCTGGTGTCTCTTGTTTCCCTCTTTGTGTTTGTGTGTAACCAATGTTTTACCTCCCACTTATAAATGAGAACACGCAGCATTTGGTTTTCTGTTCCTGTGTTAATTTGCTTAGCATAATGGCCTTCAGCTGCATCCATACTACTGAAAAGGATATGTAAGAAACTTACTCTAAATACAAAAATACATGAATTATAGACAAAGGTATCCCATGCAAATACTAATCCAAAGAGAGCTTGAATGACTATATTAATTAATGTCAATGTAGATTTCAGAGCAAGAAATATTATCACAGATTAACAGGAATACTTCACAATAATAAAGGGATAAATTTATCATAAACATATTAATCTTAAATGTATATGCTACTACTAATTTCAAAATCCATGAAGCAAAAACTGGTAGAACTAAAGGAAGGAATAGATAAATCCACAATTATAGTTGAAGACTGTAACACTCTTATCTCAGTAATTTTTAAACAAGCAAATAAGAAATCATAAGTTTATAGAAGACTTGAGGAACAGTATCATCAATATAGGACACAAAAGCTGCTGAGTAACCCATTTGTTTACAAATATACACAGACCACATTTTAGGCCATAAAATGTATCTTACTAAATTTAAGATGATTGAAATCATATGGACCACAAAGGAAGTAATCTAGAAATCAATAATGAGAAAGATACATGGAGAATCCCCAGTCAACTTATGGGATGCAGCAAAAGCAGTACTTACAGGAAAATGTTTCTGTCAGTTCTGGCTGCTATAGCAAGAATACCATAGACTGGGAGACTTAAATAACAAACATTTATTTCTCATAGGTCTGGGGGCTGGGAAGACGAAGTTCAAGATGCTAGCTGATTCTATGTCAGATAAGGGGATTCTTTCTGGTTTGCAAACAACTACCTTCTCATTGTATCCTCACATGTTTTGAAGGGAGAGGGAGAAAGAGCACATTCTCTCATGTCTCTTCTTATAAATGCACTAATCCTATTCATGGGGAATCCATCTTTCAACAAATTACCTCTTAATACCACCCTACCACCCTTTAATACCATTACGTTAGGGGTCAGGACTTCAACATACAAATTTTGCAAGGACACAAACATTTAGTCTATAACAGGAAATAATGCTAATAGTAGAAAAGAAGAAAGGTCTCAAATCATAAGGTGGTCTAAATCTCCACCTTAAGAAACTAGGAAAAGAAAATTAAACCCAAAGTAAGCATAAAGGAAGAAATAACAAAGATAACAGAAATCAATAAAATCAAAAACAGAAAAAAAGATCAATAAACTGAAAGCTCGCTATTTGAAAAACTTAAATAAAATGGAAAAACCTGTAGCCAGACTGATCAAGAAAAAGTAAGAGAAGTCACAAATTACAAATACGATAAATGAAAGACTCTAAAGACCTACAGACATTAAAAGAATAACAAGGGAACAATATGAGTAAGTGTCTGTCTATAGATTTCACAACTTCGAGCAGGATTTCTCAGATATTTTCAGGTTGCATCTGCTAAGAGTGCTTTCAGTAGCAAATGACAGAAAACATGACCTACAGAAACTTAAACAGCTAATTTTTCTCATGTGACAAGACACTCAGAGGTAGATTGCTTCAATGACAATTATGTCAGGGTCTAAGATGGTATCTCTGCCATTCTGTAATCTTTTTCTCATGGTCACAGGCACCAATCATATCAGCATTCAAGGCTGAAAGAAAGGGCTAGGAGTGAGACTGGCCATGCATAACCCTTTTATCAGAAAAGCAAAAGCTTTCCCATAAGCTCCCCCACACCCACACCAAGCCGACTTCCTTTGACACCTCATTGGGCAGAACTGGGTCCCATGACCTTTATTAAATTCAACCTTAGAAGGTTGGGAAGTCTAATGTCTGTTAAAGTGATTTAAGGTGGAGAACAGCCCTGGAAAATTCCTGAGCAGACAAAACCATTAGGAATTGAAAGTAACCTTAACCTCACTTGATTACAAACATAAGTTAAATTTGGCATTTACAAGCATTTACAAGAAATGCTTGTATTAGAGAAAAATGAATCTTAAACTCAACCAATGAGAAGCTGCCAAGTAACTTATTAGAGGTCTATAACAAGGGACTTTCCAGAGGGACAGACCAAATAAGAGAGCTGTGTAACTGTAACCAGTCTGGTATTGTCTTTGCTTTACTTCTACATTCACCCTATAAAAGCCTGTCCCTTACACTTCTTCAAAAGAGCCTGAAACCTCTTTTGGTTTGGTGCTTCCTAATTTATGAATCACTGTTTGTTCAAATAAACTCTTCAGACTTTTTATTGTGTCTCAGTTTACCTGTCAATGTATCTAAAAAAGGGCAGCAGGATTTTAATGTTTGGTCTGTGTTATGAGCTGAAATTTGTTTCCCCAAAATTCACATGTGGAAGTTCTAATGACTAGTAATTCAGAATGTGACTATATTTAGAGATAGGGTCTTCAAACAGGTAATGAGACCTTCATTGTGGGGCCTAATCCAATCTGACTGGTAGCCTTAAAAGAAGAGAGAACTTGGACACACAGAAATAGCAGAAGTGCATGCACCCAGAGGAATGGTCATGTGAGAACAAAGCAAGGAGGCATCCACCTGCAAGCCAAAGGGAGAGGCCGCAGAAGAAACCAGACCTGCCAACACCTTAATCTTGGACTTCTAGCCTCCAGAACTGTGAGAAAATAAAGTTTTGTTATTTAAGCCACCTTGTCCATGGTAGGTTGCTATGGCAGCCCAACAGACTAAAACAGCTTGGTCCAAGGGTTTCTCAACAGAGAACATTACTCTGTAGGTGAGCACTTGGAAATGGTAGAGAATATTTTCTAGTTATCACAGTGACCAGGAAATACTCCTGACCTTTAATGTGCCATGGCAAGATGCAAAAATTCTCACCATGGGCAGTATAGTCCTGTGTAACTAATAATTAGCTCCCTTTCTTCTACTGACAGCAGCTTTCCTTCTGAGAAATGATGCTTTAAAATTCATGACCTTTTGGTCAGGAAGGTGTACATTGTTGCCCCCCACCAAAAAAAAAAATCAAGGGTCCCATTAGCAAGAAATAAATAAATGATAGTTGAATAGAAATCAACAGCATCACCCCAGAACTTAAAGGATTAAAAAAAAAGAAAAGAAAAAAGAAATCAATAGCATCTGCCCGACTTTGATGGTGTGTGGTCACTCCTGCTACTGGGCAAGAAGGGGTAATCTGTTGGGTTGTAGACTTCACAGAAATAAAGATAAATTATCAGTGTGTATTTCCGTTTTGCAAGAAAAGGTTCTTACAGATCTTTTAAAAATTCGTTTTGAAGCCAATCTATTTTTCAAAGGATCAATTTCTTTACAAAATGTAGTGATACATGACATTTGGCTTCCTCTTCAGTCACAGAATTTTCCAAGGTCAAACTTAACATTGTAACTTTCAATCTCATGATTTTCTAACAAAATTAGTTTGGAAAAAGAAAATAGGTTATAAAGGATATAATTTAATATTAGCCTTCTGCATAAAAAGCAAGAAAAATCAGGTGAAAATTTATTGGTTTTGAAAAGGAACAGTAATTAAGTGTTCCTGAACTGAGAAGTTCACAATATTTTAGGGAGCCTATCCTGTCTCTCCTTATCCTTTCCCAGTAAGTAAGGTGAAGATTAAGTATTATTTTGCATATTTCAAAAATTTAAGAAAGTAAATCTGAGCAAATTGCCATAATTATATGGTGAGTCAGTGGTTGAGCTGGGGATGGAACAAGGGACTGACTGGATGTTGAAAACTGGTCTCCTGTCTGCTGTCCCCCATTCCCAAACCACATCTGGGCAAAACATGATGGGACAGCTGCTTCCTCCAAAGCTCTGCCTTCACAAAGCTTTCACCTAATTAGGCTTATTTAAAAGCAGAATCTTGTATGAAGGCTTATTAGAAAATTTCCCTTTTCTGTTTAATTCTCTCCTGACTTAGACCTGCTTTTTAAAAAGTCCTTGCTACTTTACTAACCTAATTTGAATCTACGAGTTCTATAACTGACCCTGTAACTTGGAAAGTTTTTGTTTTTGTTTTCTTTTGTTTATAAATTGGTATGTTCAGACCATCTATCTTTATTGTCTTTGTTAATTTGTTGGATTTAAAGCCACCCTCTTGCTTATTATTTTCAATTTGTTTAATCGGTTCTTTGCTCCACTTTTTTCTGCCTGTTCTTGGATGAGTTGCTTTTATATTATTTCATATTATCTTCATGGTGGGCTTATTCCTATCTCTTAAAAAATTTTGGTAACTGTCCAAAAATTTACAATATATGTTCTTTTAAAAATATTTTAAATTTTCGTGGGTACATAGCAGGTGTATATAGGCATACAATGCATAATGGTCACATCAGAGTAAGTGAGGGTATTCGTCACCTCAAGCATTTATCCTTTCTTTGTGTTACAATCAAATTATACTATTTTAGTTATTTTTAAATGTACAGTTATTATTGACCATAGTCACCCTGTTGTGCTAACAAATACTAGATCTTATTCATTCTATCTAACATAATTTTGTAGCCATTAACCACTCCCCACTCTCCCCACTCCCACTACCATTCCCAGCCTCTGGTAACTATCATTCTACCATCTCCACGAGTTCTACAATCATCACAATCCAATTTGAATATTATACTGCTTCATATGTAGTTTAAGAATGTTATAACAGTGTGTTTCCAATTCTTCCTTCCCATTTTTATGCTATAGTTCTTACACATTTTGCTTTTACATATACTACAAATACATAATATGCTGCTACTATTTTCTCAATAGACAGTAAAATTAGCATTTTTAGCATTCAGTTCTGCAAATTTTGACAAATGCATACAGTCATGTAGCCACCACAATCAAGATATAAAACAGCTTCACCACTTCCACCCCCTCCAGATTTCCCTGTGTCTTTTTGTAGTCAATTTCTCCTTCTACCCACATTCCTCGACAATGCCAGTCTGACTTCTGTGGCTTAGGCTTTGCCTTTTTCATAATGTCACGTAAGTGGACTCAGACTCTGTAGCCTTTTGTGACTGGCTTCTTTCACTTAGTATAATATATTTAAGATTTTTCCATGTTGTTATGTTTATCAGTAATTTATTCCCTCTTTATTGGTAAGTAATATTCTACGGTATAACTCTACCACAGTTTATTCACATTAATGTCAAAAAAGATTGGAGTTGTTTCCAGTTTTGGATGATTATAACTAAAGCCATCATTAACATTTGCATGCACATATTTTTATAGATTTAAGTTTTAGTTTCATTTTGGTAAATGACTAGGAGTGGGATTCCTAGGTTATATAGTAAATGTATGTTTAATTTTATAGGAAGCTTCCAATCTGCTTCCCAAAGTCATGTACCATTTCACATTCTCACTGGAAATATCTAAGAATTTCAGGCTCTTTACTCTCTCACCAGCACTTGGTTTCATCAGCTTTTTTTTTTTTTTCCTTTTAGCCATTGTAATAGGTGAGTAGTGATATTGAGTAGTGTTCAAATTTGCATTTCCTTAATGACTAAAGGTGTTGAGTATTTTCTCATATGGTTTTTTGCCATCCTATATTTTCTTTGGTGAAGTGTTCGAATTTTTTTGGCTTTAGTTATTCATTTTATTTTTATTTTTATAAAGTTCCTTATATATTCTGAATACAAATTCTTCATTAGACATGTATTTTGCACACATTTACTTCTAGTCTCTGGCTCATCTTCTCAATCTCAACAGTGTGTTTCAAAGAGCAAAAATTTTTAATTTTGATGAAGTCCAATTCGTCATTATTTTTCTTTTAAAGATTGTGCTTTTTTGTTGTTGTTGCATCTAATAACTCATTGCCTAACCAAAAGACAAAAATATTTTCCTGTGTTTTATTCTATAAATTCTGTAGTTTGTCACATAGGCTTATAAGCCATTTTAAGTTAATTTTTAGATAAGGTATGTGAGATTCATTGTTTTGCATATGGTTGTTCAGTTTAGCTCTGTTTGCTGAAAAGGTTTTTTTCATTTAATTGAATTTGTATCTCTGTTAAAATTATTTTATCATAAGTATCTAGATCTTTGTCTGGATTCTCTCCCCTGTTCCACTGACCTTTCTACTCATTATCCAAAATCACTCTAAATCAATTATTTTTTGGAAAGTCTAAAGATAAGAAAAATGTATTTTAAAATATTTACATTCATTTTAATTATATTTGAAAATCTTCATGTCTTTATGAAGGTGCAAGTCTGGTATCATATTTCTTTTTGCCTAAATAATTTTCTTGTATATCTCTTATAGTACAGATCTCCTTGTAATAAATTCTCTCAGCTTTTGTTGCCTAAAAAAGTATTTGTTTATATTTCTGAAAGTTACACACTGGATATAGAATTCTAGGTTGGCAAGTTTTTGTTTTGTTTCTGTGAGACTATTTTAAAGATGTTGCTCACTGTCTTCTTGCCTGCATTGTTTCTGATGGAACATCTGCCATCCTTTTCTTCAGTGCTTAATGTATCTTTTCACTCTGGCTGTTTTTGAAATTTTCTCTTTATCATTGATTTTCAACAGTTTGATCGTAATGTGCTTTGGTGCAGCTTTCTTGACATTTTTTGTGCTTTGTATTTATTGAGCTTCCTGTATCTATGGGATTATATTTCCCATCAAATGTGGAAAAAATTTTAGCTATTACTTTTGCAATTTTTTTTCTGCTTTCCTTTCATGAAGACTCCAGTTACATGCATAGTAGGGTATTTGAAGTTATCTCACAGCTCACTTTTACTTTGTTAATTTTCTAAAATTCTCTGTCTCTCTTTTGTAGGAGATTCTATAACTTCTACTTAAATAGTCCTTTTTTCGGCAACGTCTAATTTGTCATTAATTATATCCAATGTATTTCTCATCTCAGACATTGATGTTTTCAACTGTGGAAATTTGAGGACTGTCTTGTTGTCTTCCATGCCTCTACATGCTTTTTGAACATGTGGAATTCAATTATAACCATTTTAGTGTTCTTACCTGTTAATAATAACATCTGTATTAGTTATGGAGCAGTTTTAATTGATTTAATTTTTTCTCCATGTTGAGGGTCATATTTCCCTGCTTCTTCAGATGCCTGGAAATTTTTTACAATTCTATTTGATTTCACAAAGCCTTCCCGTTTTAGGACAGTTTTAAATTTACAGAAAAACGGTGAAGATAGGACAGAGAGTCACCACATACTCCACACTAAATTTACCCTACTGTTAGCATCTTACATTAGTGTTGTATATTTGTGATAATTAATGAACTAATACTGATATATTATTACTAACTAAATTCCATAATGTATTCGGATTTCCTTATTTTTTTTACAGTGTCTTTTTCTGATCCTAATAGTCATATCTAGGATACCAAATCACATTCAGCAGTCACATGACCTTAGGCTGTTTTTGGCTATGACAGTTTCTCAGACTTTTCCTGTTTTTGATGACCTTGATAGGTTTGAGGAGTACAAGTCAGGTATTTTGTAGAATGTCCCTCAACTGACATTTTTCTGATGTTTTTCTCATGATTACACTGGGATTTTCTGTTTTTGAGAGGAAAACTGCTGGTGTCATCACATCATATCAAGGATACCTATTACTGACATGATTTATTACTATTGATGTTATCCTTGATCACCTGCCTGAGATAATGCTTGTCACATTTCTCCACTGTAAAGTAATCTTTCCCCTCATTTTCATACTGTGCTGTTTTGAAGGAAGTCACTATGCATAGTCCATGTGTAAGGAGTGGGGAGCACCCTCCTTGAGGGTGGAGTGTATACATAAATAGTTTTGAATTCTTCTGGGCAGGACTAATGTTTTATTGAATTCCAGACTGTTGAATTTTACCTTTGTTCTTGAGCTTTGTTTTTGGATGCAGTTATGTTACTTGGAAACTGTTTAATCCTTTGGGTTTTGCTTTTAAAGTTTGTTAGGTGGGACCAGAGTGTTGCATTGTCTATGCCAAATTATTCTCCACTTCTGAGGCAAGACCCTTCTGAGTGTTCTTACCAATGCCATGTGAATTTTGAGGTTTTCCAGTCTGGCTGGTGGGAACAAGCAATGTTCCTGGCCTTACATGAGTGCTGGGTACTACTCTCTTTAATCCTTTTTGGATGATTCTTTCCCTGGCTTTAGATTATTTTCTAACACGAATGTGGTGATCTATAAACTCTGCTGACGATTCCAGCAAGACCCTCTACAAATATTTGTAGTTCTTGCTCAATGCAGCACTTACTTCTCCAGTACTCTATCCTGCTAACTCTAGCCATTGTGGTTTTCTCAGACCCTCAGCCCTGTGTCCTCAACTTAGGGAGTTTGTTGGACTCTGCTAGAGTTCTCTCTCCTGGCTGTGAGGCATGTAAACTCACTAACGACCTAAGCCTGGACAAAATAATACTTGCTTCATATGCTTCCCATATCTTAGGGATCATTGTCCTTCATTGCTTATATCCAGTGTTTTGAAAATATTGTTTCATACATTTAGTCTAATTATTTTATTCAGGCAGGAGGGTACATCTGGTCTCTATTAGTCTACCTTGGCCAAAAGTGGAAGTCCTGTCTGCCACTCTTTTACTCTAACTTTGAGTTAAACTGACCACCGGCCAGTTTCACAATATGCTGTGTTCTCACCTACTTCTGGCCTTTGAAGATTCTGGCTGTTTCAACTCTTTTATATTTCTTTTTTTTTCTGATCTGGCACATTCTTTAGCATATTTTATATCTTTTCATGGAAATTCTTTCATTCACTCATTTATTCAGTTTGTAGCTACGAAATCTCACTAGGTGTCTTTGTGCTATCATCTTCTTTGATTCTCACAACGTTTACAATTAAACTTTCTCAAATTCGTATGGTTAATGGATGGAAGAAGGGCTTACATTTTTGTCTATATGACTGCCCATTTTCTTTCCATTATGCACTATGATTTTTCTACATTATTTTTGAATAACTACAATGCTTCCAGCCTTGAATTTGAATGATTTTGAAGTGGTCTTAGTTCTAGAAAATATGATTTATATACTCAGGCATCTTCCAATATTGCTAAAAGAACAATAACGTACTTCAAACAAACAGAACAGTATAAGATAGTGTAGGACAAAGGGTTAAATGTTTTATAGGGGATTTTTGAAGTGCCTTTTAAGACATTGTAAAATGGGAAGATCAATAATCGGCTAGAATAGTTGACAGTGATTCATGGAGGACACGCAGGAGGAGCAAGATTTGATGCATAGTGAGGACTTGCCTTTATCAAATCTTCCTGATTCGTTTGCTGAGGCCCAGGAGTGTTCCATAAAATAATTTGAAGTACTTAAGATATCAGCTCCTTCATGCTCAGAGTATCTAACTGGGAACAGTAGTCATCCATTTATCCCTTAGTTCCAAATAGGTAGTATCATATTTTATGAAGTGGAAAGATTGTGAAGTATGGGGACAGAGAAAGAAAAAAATAGCTATTGGTAAAGCATAGTAAGGATAATAATCAGAATAGAGGGGAGAGCAGGGATAGCATGAGATGGGCAATTATAAGAAAGCTCAGATAAAAGAGGAGTTGTGAGACTGTGAAATAGCACCTAGACAAGTCACTCTACAAATTTAATGCCCATTTGTAATACCACCTGTTAAAAAGTGCCTGTAATCCCAGCACTTTGAGAGGCCGAGGTGGGAGGATTGCTTGAGGCCAGGAGTTTGAGGCCAGGTTGGGCAATATAGTGAGATCCTGTTTCTAAAACAAAACAAAACAAAACAAAAAAAACCAAAAACCCCCCACAAAAAACAAACAAACAAACAAACAAACAAACAAACAAAAACCAGATGTGGTGGTGCATGCCTTGTAGTCCTAGCTACTTGGGAAGCTGAGGTGGAAGGATGGCTTGAGTGCTGGAGTTTGAGATCAGCCTGGACAACATAGTGAGACCCTGTCTATACAAAAAAATAAAATTAAATGAGTAAGGTGTGGTGGTGTACACTAGCCCTAGCTATTTCGCAGGCTGAGGTGGGAGAATCACTTAAGTCCAAGAGTTGGAGGCTGCAGTGGGTTTGATTGTGCTGGTATACTCCAACCTGAGTGACAGAGCAAGGACCTATCTCCAAAAAAAAAAAAAAAAAAAAAAGGGAAGGAAGGAGAAAAACAGATAAAAGAAAGAAAAGAAACTAGAATAGTATGAAGAACATTTCTCAAATCAAAATAATAGTCTCTAAGTTCTTAAATTTCTTATTCCCCTTTCACTGTTTTGTCTCCTTACTTTTCTGTAGAGTTTTATGAAATTATTTCTTGACAGATTAAAGGTTATTGAATAAAAATCTGTTTACTACTTGAAGAAAGGGAGAACAGTAAAAGTATTTGATTTTTATTTAATAACCTTTAATCTATTTTGCTGTGGCAGAGCAATATTGGAAGGATTAATTTAAATATCTGAGAATATGTGTTTGGGTGGAACTAGTTCTATTCATCTCTTGTATCAACTCATCAGATTAAAACAAGATCCTTTAAGTTTGGGTTGAGGAAAGAAGAGCTGGACAGGAAGAAAGAGAGTAAGTTACTTATGCTGCTCTCTGAGCCAGACTTTCATCCTGCTATGCCCTCACTTTCCAAGGTAATTTCCAGGGGTGGAAGGTGAGCAAGCTCCAAACTTGTCTACTCCACCATGCATAAGAGAGAGGAACTGAAATTGCTGCATGGTGTATCTAAGTGAGATAGACCTTAGGTACCCTCCCAGAGTCCCTGAGACTCCCTCAAAGATGTGGATACAGCCAAATATTTTTTCATGGTAAATGATCAGATGTGATATTGAGAATTGGAAGACCCAAAGGTCTCATGGTCTGAATAAAAGGATACCCTCAGCAGATGGGCATTCAGTCACCTCAATGGATGCAAACACAGAAGAAGAGCAATAGCGAAGCACCAGATTCAATAATGTGCTTAGCAGCAGATGATGGATGCCTCTCTTTGCCCCATCCACGCTCCATTGACACAATCTGGCGTAACTCATGGAACTTGGATGCACCCTGGGGAGAAAGAGCCATGGGGGAAATTTTGAATTTACTAATGGCAAATCTTATAGCACTGGATATATCTGCAATTGATCATGATTACATTTCCTAACACCAGGCACATAGGGGATTCAAAGTACATATATTACTTTGTGGAAAAATATTAAAAGGTTTGCACATCTGAATCTGTGTCTTGTAATCCTGTGAACTCCATACCTCTACTGTTGGAAGTAAATTTACCTACCAGCTTGGAGAGATTAAGAGAAGTGATCTCTGGGTCATAATTCTAACTCTACTATCAGTTCCTTATGGTGTTTTGCCTCAATTTCTCTTTTTGTAAAAGCAAATTTGGCTTTTCTTCTTATATGCTAATGGTACCTGGGGGTAAGGACACCATGTGGTTTCAATTTTTCAGAGTGCTGATTCAGCCGTGTATATTTCACTGTCAGCCTTAAATATAGGAGGGAATTTTATGTGTAACTTTTCCTGTACTTGGCATTCGTTTCCAAGTTTTTGCTTACTTGGGGCTTATAATATGGAAATGTATTCCTGTGACCTTGGGAGAGATGTATATTCAAGGTAGAGGTTTATAAAAAAATAGTCTTTGATTTTATTTTTAAAAAGTAATATGATGCACTGCCACACCTTTGTAATATGATGTCCTCGACATGCTGAGTCCTCAGGATTGAGAGATATTAAAGTTGAGCCACTTGGGCACCTGTAATTAAAAGCTATTAATGTTTTAAGGTATCTCAGATGCTTCAATTGACTTGGTTAGGATTGGCCTCTAGCTTGGTGGGAGAAGGTTTCCTTGTACAGAACGTTCCCTGCCTCCATTCAAGGAGGGAGGCCAGCCAGAGGAACTGGCTGTTTATTTTTGAGCCCATGTAAAAGGAGCTCATGAGTAGACACCTCCTGCTGTAGGCCAAGCCTGGCAAAGAGGTCATCTTTGTTGCAAGTGGTTGAGGAATTGCCTCCCCTGCTGATGATTGGAGATATTTTTAGCAACAAGCTGAAACTTTTCATTCTTGAAATTGTTTTCATTTCCACTCAGAGGCAAACTCCATGAGCTGGGGAAGAAAAACAAAATAGGAGGCATATGTGCTAATAGGAGCCGTGTGTCCGTGTAAGAAGAAACTCGATGAAATTGCTTCCCCTGGTGCTGACAACTTAGTCCTGGCACCAGGATGGTTCTAATAGCTGTAGGCTAAAAGAATCATTTCCATAGTGCAGCTCATAATGATAATGTAAATTTCACTTAAGTACACATGATTACAGAAAATTGCACAGAATTGCAACAGACTTTGTGCCATACTGTTTATGGAGCAATATAGATTTACCAATTTTTTTCCCCCTAAATTCAATGAAAGACAAGCTATTTTGACTCTGGGAGAGGATAAAGGTCTACAGCATTGTGTTAATTTGTATTAAAATTTGAACTCAGGTTTTCCACACATTTTCTGAGTGCTAACGATGGGGTGAAAGGTGGGGGGAATTCTACCACATTGACCAGCCTGAAAAACTTCTAATGAAGTGTCATGGAGTCACCATGAGTCCTAGCTCTATATGTGTGTTTATGGCAGGTAAAAACACTTCAAAGGCACTCATGGTTGAGGAGTAATGTGAAGACACATGTCAGAGCATGTGAACAAAAGTTCTCTGAAAAGGAATTTGGAGGAAAGAGACTTTATTCCAATGAACAGTTTGCAAACAGTGAGATGCAACTTTCAGTGTAAGATGAGGGTACCTTCTAGAGAACAAAGAAAGGGTTCATGTTTTATGGCAGAAGTTCCTGTCCATATTCCAATCAGGTTTGCTTATGCAAATGAAGGATTGAAACTTGCTTAGTTCTGATTTATTGATGCAGCTGAGCTCTGATGGCTGAGGCAGATGAGCCCTGAAAATCCCTTTTCAAGGTTGCAGGTTTTCAAAGAACTGAGTGCATGCGTGACGTCTAGTTAGCAAAGGGTCTCTTGGCTGTATTTTAAATTCAGGCCCAGTTAGCCACTTGGGATACATCTTGAAGGATTAGTTCCTTCAGGCTCACATTTGTTCACAGGCATCTGTTTTGCCAGAACTCTTCTAGCACCATGTGTACATCTTTGAGTCACTTCCATGTTCCATCACTCACTATTGTGGTTTGTGTACATGTTGATTATTTCTCCTCTCTTGTATGTTTACAAAGAGTAAGCACTGCGTTTTTGTAGTCGTTGTTGTTTTTTATTTGGCTTAAACTCAGTACCTATTTGTTGAATTAAATTAAACTGGAGTGGAATGATTCCTTCTATTAAAATACAGCAAAATCTATGGCAAGAAATAATATTAAAATCATGATTACCATCCTATTGGATTCTTACCATGGCAGAGGAATCCATTACATGTGGCAAACAGATTTCAAGTAATATCATGTGCTTTTGGAATGTTTTGAGAGAGCTAGCAGAGAACTATCATTTGAAAAGAAAGGAAAGGAAAGTAACTTCATCAAAAGGAATTATTCCTCATTCACTCATTTAATCCTCAAAGAATCTCTCTGAGAGATATTTTTATTCTCAATTTACAGATAAGTAAATTTAAATTTAGAAAGGCTAAACACATTTCTTCGGCTCATGTAGCTAGGATTTGACCCCATCTTTGTCTACATTCTAATTCTAAGCTTCTTCTACCACTATGCCATGTTCCCTAAAAAAGAAACATCTTATCTGTGCTCTTGTGGCATAACTAAGTGTCCATTTCAATTTAATTTTCCTAAAATATCACTAACCAAGCCATCTTCAGAAAGAGGAACTGTAAGATACTGACTTAATAGTATTTCAGTCAAGAATACAAGAAGAATTCAATGGCTTCCCTCTACCTATTGATGATTGACTCATTTTATAGGTGATTACGGGGAGTCAGAGTGGCACATAGCTCACAGACAGCTGCCTCTTGCCTTTTTCCATGGGTGCTCTGAGATTCTACTCCTGCTTCTGGGTTATAGTGAGTAAGAGCATTCCTCAGTAGTGATGGTGGAGGCAGAGGTGCTGAAACTGGCCTCCTCTCCTTCTCTGTGGTTTTGATGGAATGAAATAGTCAGGGAGAAGTGGAAGACAAAGAAGGAGAGTCAAGTAGATCATACACAGGATCCTGCTGTAATAGAGAAAGATGATTATCCTTGGCCATGAGTTGTCTTTTGGGGGAAAAAAAACAAGAAAAAGAAATGCAAAGGGGATATTTCTCTACCCATCACACATCCTATCCCTCACTAAAATATACAGTAGTTAGCATATTCATTTCCCAGGCACAAAAACAAAAGGCCCTGTATAATTATTTCATAATTAGCTGGTAATTACTATGTCATAAGTGAATATCCATAAATGTTTTTAGACCGTCCAGCCTACTTGGTAATTAGACCTGGAATTCTTAAGAGAACCTGGGATCTTTGAAAATGCTTTCCAGCAGTATTTGTTATTGGTGCCATATGAAACAGAGTGTGACTGAAATGCATATGACTTTTGCAGCATTTTGGTTTTTAGGCAGCATTCCCAGGTATGCATGAGGGTTGCCAACAACTATGTCTGTGAGTTGTTTTAACTGAAATCACTAATACTACATACTGATTTAAAGTAAGTACAAATTTTGGATATGAAAACTAGATCCATATATTTCCTCTTCACAATCACAGTAAATAACTTACATCCTCCTGCATGAGTGAAGAACCAGGGGAGGTGACCAAGTATAGGTACGAGAGAAGAGGGTGATGCCGGTTTGTCAATGACGAGGAACTATATTTTTAATGAGGTCACTTCCTCTGAGGTTTTCTATCAATTCAGATTGAAGGCTTCAAGTGTGGGGCAATCATTTTGGAAAACTTGAATACAGTAGTAAAATCAATTTGTATTCAAATACTGCCCAGAAGCATTTCGAGTATAAAGGGCATCTCTTGTTCATCTCTGCATGTATTCTCTGCTACCCATTATCCAGGGCTTATGACCCTGTGGTTACTGACTGTACTAACTTTTTGTGTATTGTTCAGTTGAGAACAATAAATAGTTTTGGCATAAATGAAGGAAAGAAAGAAATGAGAAAATCCAAAGAAACCAATATTTACAATAGGAAGACTGATATTTTGAAAGTCAATGGCTTAAACTTTTCTAATTTACAAATAAGGGTTGAAAACTAAATTTACTTGCAAAATTTGCAACGTGACAAAAAATGAGGAGATAATCTCTAAATCCACTTTTTAAAAGTAAAGAATTAAGGAGGAGACTGATGAACTCTTTTCTGGAATGCTTCATTACTTTTATTTCAAGGTAGGTTTCTTTTATCTTGTATCTTAGGTGTTTCAAATCATTTGTTTTACCAGATTTTGAGTTCAAAGTGATATCAGCATCTGAGACACTGTAATTACATTCTTGTGGTAACTTTACCACTTTTCAAGATATTTATTATTTTCTACCAATAAGTTATAGGCTAATAATTCGCAATTTGTTGATTCCCTGGGAAGGCAAACCTGTCTCCTCATTTCTCTACAGCAGAAATTCTCAAGCCTTTTGGTTTCAGGATGTGCTTAAAAAATGTTTGAGGACCTCAAAGAGCTTTTGTTTAAGTGGGTTATATAATATTTACCATATTGGAAACTAAAACTAAGAAAGTTTAAAATGTTCATTTCTTAATGCTTTAAAATAGAAATAAGAAATCCATTACAGATTAACATAAATCACATATTTTAGAATTTTAAAAAAAAGGTTATGTTTCAAAATGAAAGCTGTAGTGAGAAGATTAGCATTGTTTCATAGCATGGCACAACTTTTAAAGTTCTGGCTTGATAGAAGACAGATGGATTCTCATATTTGCTTCTGCATTCAATCTGTTGTGATATGTTGTTTTGGTTGAATTATATGAAATTGAAAGAAGAGGAGTATTTTTTAAGCTTTTCAGGTAATTATGGATATGATTTGATACTATCCCCAAACTCATCAAGTGTTAGTTTCTTAAAGGTTAGTTGCAATGTGGAATCTGGAACCATGTCAATGAATTTTTCATGCTCTATTATATCAAAATCTATTGATTAAGCTTCTATTTTTATACATTAATGATGTATAACTTGAGTTTCTTTTTTTGTTGTTGTTGTTGTTTTGTTTTGTTTTTGAGAGATTGTCTACCAAATGCTGAAGTCTGAATAGTTTGTCTACAATGTGGTCTTTCAGGTAATTTTTTATTGTGTTCTGGAAAAAGTGTTGCAAGTTCAGTTCACAAAACAAATTAAAAACATCATGGAACTTGTATTTGGTATAACCTTCCTACTTCAATATGTAGCCTTCAGAAATACATCCCATTTCATCAAGTATCAGAAAGTCTAAGGAGTTCAGATTTGAGATTGCATAAAATTAAAAATGTTTACTGCTTTATCAATGTCATTCTTCAGTGAAAGACATGCAACATTTTCGGTTGCAAATGTGTGAGGATGAGCAACATAACTCCCAGTACAGATGGGTGGCACTGCTTTAATTTGTGCTAAGGCACAAGCAATTTTACCCATCATTGCCTTTGCAATATCAGTGCAAATGTCAACTCAATGAAAAGGCAAATCACATCTTAGTATTAGCTTGAAAACAGTTTTTAACTCTGTAGGCCCTTGAAAAGGTCTTGGGAATCTCAGAGAATCTAGACTATACCTTAAGAGTAGCTGTTTGATAAAAACTAAATGTTAAAACAAGATTAAATTCTATTCACCAAATATGTTCTAAGCATGGATTCTGTAGAGAGAATGGTCCATCAAAGAGAAATACTATGATGACATAGTCTTTGTATTCAAGCAATATACCACTTGAGAAACGGCCCTGTTGAGCTGTGCTTTGATTTAAATCCACATTACCTTAAAAGCCTCATAACTACCTTAAAAGATGTTTCCTGTTTTAATGAATTTACACACAGTGAAAAACAATGAGGTACACAAATATCTAGTTGATGCGAGTTTTGAGATACGTACAGTTGTGTTGATGATAGAGCTCGCCATACGTAATACAGTGTGGATGTCTTGAAATAGAGGCCTGCACTACATGTCGGGGCCATCACAGGAAGAATTTGGATTGATGGAATCTGGATTGACTGAGCTGTCTGAAAATGGTTCTTCCCAACGGAGAGAAGGGCTGCCTCTGCAAATCAATCATTTGCTATCCCAGAATGGCTAAAGTTATCTCTCCTGACTCCCCCAATTGCACTCATTCCCTCCCCTTGCCTCCACCCCAAATTTTAGCTGTAATTCATTCTTTGTCTGAGCAATGAAAAGAGCAGTGTATTTCTTTCTTTCTCAGTAACCTGATCTTATGCATATATATGCATCAGACAAAATAAGTGAAACTGAGCTTCCAAAACTATGTTAAACTTCACTACAACCTTTCAACACAGTCCCCTTAGAAAACATTTCCTCCTCTGTGTTCTTCTAATACTACTAAATAGCTATGGGGCAATGGAACACAGTTATTAACACCAATAACAAAAAAAAGGTCATCCTTTGATTCTCTCCATTCCAATTTTTTTTTAAAGTAAGACATATTGATTTCACATGGCAGCAGATAAACTAAATATTAAAAGTCTCTTTATTTTAAGTTGCTGTGATTTATTTGGTTTCATATAATCCTCAGGTTTCTGTCTTTATATTAACTTACTGCATGTTTATATCTTTCTGATAGAGGTAAGTGATTCTTTAGAAACACTATGGATCAATTCTGACAACCTCTCTGCATACACACCACATAATTACATATACATATACATATAGTGTGTGTGTATATATATATACCCACATGCACTTAACATACTTACGTGTTTGAATGACAAAATGATTTGGGGCAGTCACAATATGAACTATTAGGTGTTGATAATTTTTTGTGGTTTTTGAGGATAGGTATTAGGCCTATTCTAACCAAGAATACTTAGTCATTTCTACTGATGAGTTGGTATCATGAACTAACTCATCAGTGTAACTGGGCCATGTTGTAGCCAGGTCCCCCAAAGAAGTTGATTGTTTAAGAGACCCGAATATCCTCCACTTCTAAGGGATTACCTCTGGTTAGTTTTGATATAAACATGGGTGGGAAATTCCCTTGGTTGTTTTTTCTCTACTTTATTCATTCTGAATAAAGAGACATCTAAGATCCTGTTACTCCACCAGTATTTTGTAACTTAAATAAAAAAAAATATATATATATATGTACTTTACAATAGAGGTAGACAGATGAAATATTTACCATAGTAAGATGAGCCAATCTTTTTGTTCTCTATTTATACGCTTATATTCTCCACCCAACTCTTTCTCAAGGGACTGCTCAAGATCATTCACAGAAAAACAAGGCTTTGATTGTTGAGTTTGGCTTATTCTGCTATTTAGAAGGTGTGACAATTTTATTCCTGAAATGAAAGAGACAGATTTTGTAAGCCAGAACACACAAGGGAAATCCACTTTCCTTGAAAAGTCTGGCATCTTGTTAACCTGGCACTTAAGGCAGTTCTACAAAAGGTCTACTTTCCATTTCCACCCAGAGTCAAAGAATTTTTAAAGCAAGTTCAGAGGCATGGCTGCACAGATTGAAACTGGAATCTTCAAGAAATGAAGAGTATGCATCCAAATTCTCCACTGCTCAGATTTTCTTAGGAACATCCTCTGCTTACCTGGTACTCCCTCTGTGTTTGAGGAAAACCCCAAAATATATTAGAAACCTTTATCTTTGTGTGATAGATAACTAGAAACAACTGGCTGATTCCTCTTGTCTACCAATACCAACATACATTTTTGCCCTAGAATATTATACCACCTTTTATTTTTCAACCTGGCACTGCTGTGGGTTTTCTCACACTTAATTTGGTATATTATCATCATATCTTCAAATAGAAGAGATAGATGTTAATAATTCACCTTACATTTTATAGAACTTCAAAGATTGTTGAAAGAGTCTCACATATTAAGTTATAAGAAATATCTCAGAACATCACTAGGCATTTTATCAGCAACTATCCTGAAAATGTTGGTGATATTTGACAAAACAACCTCTATAGCTATCCAATCCAATATCTTTGTAACTTGTCCTGAAAAACATAGCATTTCAAGCAATTTATTAATATATTATCCAAAATAATACATATAGGAATCCCTTATTCAAAGCCATAAACGATAAGGTATTAATACCTAAATGTACTTTAAACACGCATCACTTAAATATTTTGGGAGAATGACTATGGTCGAAATATCAGGAATGTAATAACAAAGTAAGCTCAGGAGGCATTTGTACTGAGGCTAATATTTGATGGATAACTGAGGCAATTTTATCAGTATCCTTTTGCAAGGGCATTAAAACTCAACTAAGATTCAAATTTTAGATCTTTTTTTCTTAATATAACATCATTCTGTGTAGGCATTTGATTGTGGTAGAGTCTAAGTGACACCAATTCAACTAAGTCAGGAAACAACAGATGCCGGAGAGAACGTGGAGAAATAGGAATGCTTTTACACTGTTGGTAGGAGTGTAAATTAGTTCAACCATTGTGGAAGACAGTGTGGCAATTCTTCAAGGATCTAGAACCAGAAATACCATTTGACCCAGCAACCCCATTACTGGGTATATACCCAAAGGGTTATAAATCATTCTACTATAAGGATACATGCATGCATATTTTTATTGCAGCACTATTCACAATAGCAAAGACTTGGAACCCACCCAAATGCCCATCAATGATAGACTGGATAAAGAAAATGTGGCACATATATACCATGGAATACTATGCAGCCATAAAAAGAATGAGTTCATGTCCTTTGCAGGGACATGGATGACACTGGAAACCATCATTCTCGGCAAACTAACACAGGAACAGAAAACCAAATACCATGTTTTATCACTCATAAGTGGGAGCTGATCAATGAAAACACATGCACACAGGGAGGGGAACATTACACACTGGGGCCTGTCAGGGGGTGTGTGGCTAGGGGAGGGATAGCATTAGGAGAAATACCTAATGTGGATGACAGGTTGATGGGTACAACAAACCACATGGCACATGTATACCTATGTAAGAAACCTGGACATTCCTCATGTGTATCCTAGAACTTAAAATATGCTTAAAAAAAAAAAGAAAAGTGAAATCACTAAAATCAGTGTCAAGCAAATGTTTTGATGGACATTCTTCAAGTGAATTGACTAAGTTGGCTTGTTTGGCCAACTCCTGTTTCATGTAGACACATTCTAAGAGAAAAATAGCCCTACTTATTTCCTTTGGCATTTATCAGGGAAATAGGTTCCTGTAGTCGAGTTGTTCTCCAGTAATAGAGCAGCTAATAAATCTAACCCGAAGACTCGTCTTAGGATACCAATTATTCCAGAGTGTTTGAATCTTGTTTTTATCCACTTGCAGTTTATAGCAAACTTGGTTTTTTTACCATTCATAAATCCCTACTGCTCTTCTGTTCTTGGCTGTATATGGATAAAATGTGGTGCTCACTGAAACTTTAGAGTCTCAAAACATTAACTACAATTTCAAGCATTTCAACATTCCACCATCCTAATGGTTTGAACAGTTGCTTTTTAAATCTCAGTCACCCTTCTTCACTGTTTAGGCAGAATTCTCACAGTCTTCCTAAGACTCATTAACCAATCAAATCAATGCAAAAGCAAACTTTTGGTTCTAAAAAGGAGTTGTAACACAGCAACTTTTCTTTATTTTCATGTTCCCAAAGAAGTGGGAAACTTATTGCATTTCAGCTGGACAAAGCTCATCTCATTAAAGTCATAGCTTATAAAATATATACAATTGACCTTACTGTTGACCAGAAGCCTAACATGAACAGTCAATTAATACTGTTTTGTATGTTGTATGTGTTATATATTGTATTCTTTTAATGAAGTAAGCTAGAGAAAAGAAAATGTTATTAAGAAAATCATACAGAAGGCCGGGCATGGTGGCTCACGCCTGTAATCCCAGCACTTTGGGATGCTGAAGCAGGTGGATCACCTGAAGTCAGGAGTTCGAGACCAGCCTGGCCGACATGGCAAAACCCTGTCTCTACTAAAAATACAAAAATTAGCTGGGCATAGTGGCACATGCCTGCAATTCCAGCTACTCAGGAGGCTAAGGCAGGAGAATCACTTGAACCTGGGAGGCAGAGGTTGCAGTGAGCCGAGATCATGCCCTTGCACTCCAGCCTGAACAACAGAGTGAGACTCTGTCTCAAAAAAAAAAAAGAAAAAAAGAAAATCATATGAAGACAAAGCATATTTACTATTTTATTGAGGGGAAGTGAATCATCATGAAGGTCATCTTCACATTGAGCAGGCTGAGGACGAAGAGGAAAAGGAGGGGGTGGTCTTGCTACCTCAGAGGTGGCAGAGGCAGAAGAAAACGTATGTATAGGTGGACCCACACACTAGTCAACAGTAGGGTATTAGTAGTTAAGTATTTAGGGAGCAAAAAATTACATGTAAATTTTTGACTGCCTGGGGGATCAGCACCCTTAACCCTCACATTATTCAAGGATCACACACACACACACACACACACACACACACACACACACAAATATATATATATATATTTTTAAAGATGAGTTCTGAGACATAAAAGTTGACTGGTAAGACTCTCTGCTTTCACTGCAGTCACTATCCTGTGAACAACTCTCTTATCACAATAATACCATACAACATCCTATTGATATAATGATTCTATATACCAGCAATTCCCTTTCTTCTTGCCTTAGAAAAGAATTCCATATGTGAGCCCACCAGTCATTTCAGTGGAAGTTCCAAGTGGTTTGGATAAAACAAGATCTTAGTTGAACCTTTGCCTTAAACTGAAATTGAACCTGGATCATGTTTGAGGTTCAAAAAGTTGAGTTAACTTTTTCCCCTTTATTTTAATTTTTGTGCATCTCTGCACTTCCTGGTTTTGGTTGGGAGTAGAAACCAAAATACCACAAGAAAAGCTATTCTTGTTGCATTTCCAGGCTTTCAAAGCCAAAAAGCACTAGAAATCTTATGAAGAAAACAGTTCCCACCTAATTTCTAGCCCCAAAAGGTTCAGATAAGTTTGAATAAACTTTGGATAATGTTGTATCTATTACTTGGAGAATACCTAAGACAGGCAGTGGTAAAATAAAAATGCTTTAAGATTATAGAAAGAGGGAAGGAAATAAGATGATAACAAATTGGACATTTCTTCAAATTAAACTGAGGACATTATCATCATCTAACCATGGTTTTTTCATCGCAAGGAAAAGCCAGCATATCATACATTTTGGAAGAAAGATTTAAACTTAGCTTTTAACTTCTTAAAGGTTGCCATTTACAAAATACTCCACATTTTGATCACTGTCTTAATATTATTTAAAATGAATCGCCAAAAGCCATTTTAAGATAACTCCACTTGTTACATGAGGAATCTGTGGAAATAAACTATTAAAGCTATACTGATGTTTCTTGAGCTTCATTCAATGCCGTGCAATAACTTTTCATTTATTCAACAAGTATTTGTTGAGTACTTAGTATGTGGGTAGAGTGCAAACTAAAGTTCTGGGGAACTAATAATGAGTATGTTAAATACTTTCCCTCAATAACTCATACTCTGGTGGGAGATAGTGTCAAGTGAATGAGCAGAATCTAACAGAGTTTGCTAAGGGCTGCGTTAGGGATAGGCAGGACAGATTTGGAGAACTTGTAAGGCAGTCCGTATGCTGGCCTGGTGCTCATGTAGATCTTCTGAAAGAGCTGAGGTCTAAAAGAGTAGGAGTGAGCAGGGTGAAAAACCCTTTCTCTGAACTCCAAACATTTCCCTTGTGTCTTACTTTTCCAGGGATAACTTGACAGAATCAAAACCTGGCAACACGAGAAGTCAAAAAGGAACAACGGGATGGTGAAGGCAAAATGGTGACTCAAAATTCCAGACAAGAGATTGCGGAGGGCAAAGGTCAAGTTGGGAAGATGGAGAAGCACAACATCAGGAGTATCTGACAACAGTTAAGAAGCAGGTACTTGGGAGCTGGGAAAAGCCTGAGCTGGGGAAGATGGTTTTGGGAAAAGAGGTCCAGCCTCTCTTTAGACTCTGCAGGAACAGATTTATTATTATTATTAAAGTTATTATTTAACACAGGTTGGTGTTATGGAAAACCATAGGCTTTGGAGTCAGACAGATACAATTTTAATTCCTGGCTCCATATCTCATGTATCTGTGGCTTTGAATAATGTGCTTTACTTAGCGTTTATGTGATCAGGATAATGATATCGCCACCTTAGGGTTCATATGAGAAACAAATGAGATTCATTATGTGACTGTGCCTACCATGATCTCGGGTATGTAGTGATGCTCAGTAAACAGTAGTAACCTTCCCTCTTACTTCAAGTACTGACCATTTGGCCTGTGGACAAAATGTCCCTCTGAGCAGCAAGGCACTCAGGTTACCAACCCTTTAGCTGTCTATCCTTAGAATTAGCATTTTCTCTCCTTCCTCACTGACACCTTTGCTGTTGGAGTTTCACAGCTGTTGTTACACCCCCAAACACCAATGGTGGTTAGCTCATTTTAGAAATGAAGAAACATGATCAGACTGGTTAAGCAATTTTCCCAAAGGGATAACTGATAAATTATGGCATTAGATGAAAACCTGAGGCTACGTGAATCCAAAGTTGGTGTTCTTTCCAGCCATCCCCTGTCTCTGTGTAACATGTAAGAGGTACATCTACTGGGAAACTGATTTTGTAGTTTGGAGTCTGGACAGCAAAACAAATTCCAGGAATTTTGCATTGGGAGATCCCATTTTGAGAGAGGTTAACATACATTTCCTTATTCTACCAATGTAGTAAAAACAGAATAAAGAAAATTTTTATAATCTTTACTAGCAACTTGGAGGGTTGAGAGCTAAGCTGCTCCCTACACTTTTGTCCAGTCAAGTGAGTACTTTGTTCTTAGAAGATAAATGCATATCTGTTTAAAGATATTCTATATAAGCTGGTTCAAGTATTAAAAATATGCAAGGCAAATAGTCCAACACTCAGTATTCTTGCCAAAAAAAAGAAGGAAAAAAAAAGGCTTTACCCTGAATACAGACAGCTCATATGTTGACCACCAGGGCAGATCTGAAATTTAAGTCTGTCTGAATTCATTGCTTGAATTTGCAGCTTTTGCCCTGAATTTCTCAGCTCATTTGTAGAGAAGGAGAAAGTTTATCATCAATAGCACCAGGATTTTACCATTTTCTTCTCACAGAGATGGGTACTTTGTACAAGGAAAAACATTTTAATTCTCTAGATTTCGTGGCTAAGAGATTGCCACAATAGAGAGAGATATTCATAAACAGATGAAATAACATTATCTTTTGTTTTATCTGTATATTAGGATTGCCTAGATTCTTAAAATGAACTCTCTCCTGTGAAAAGACTCATTCAGTTTTCCTAAGGAAAACCTTTAATTAAAGATACACTCATAGCTGTCTGTTTGCCAGAAACTGCAGTTTCAGGTTTCTCCAGGGGAGGATGACCACAAATGCCACTCATTAGCCTAAATTAAAGCACCCATCTATAGCTGGTATTTGAGGTTGAGCCATATACAAATAGAATTAGGGCCAGCCTTTAACAAGATGACTCAAAGAAGTGCCCTGAGTTCTGCACTGGGCAAGGACTGTCATCTACAGTGAACTTCCTTGGTTTTGTGGTATCCCAAGCAGAGTGTTTTGTGGAAAGAGGGGAGATGATGAAAGAGTCAAGGGAGGAAATTGCTTTTCTTATGTGGAAGTCTCAGATCCTCTGCATCCTTTTCTCATACCATTTACCTGTTTTGACCTGACTTAAAATAAAAATTTCCCTATTTTATACTAACATTTAGATAGAATAATAATGAAAGGTACAAACTATGGGCTGAATTGTGTCCCCCTCCCCAAATTCATAAGTCGACATCTTAACCCCAGCACCTAAGGATGTTACCTGATTTGAAGAGAGGGTCTTAATAGAGGTAACTGAGTAAAGTGAGGTCCTTAGGATGGGCCCTACTCCAATATGAGTGGTGTCCTTATACAAAGGGAGAATTTGAACACAGAAATATGCTCAGAGAGAAGATGATGTGAAGACAGTGAATAGGTGGCCCTCTGAAGCCAAGCAGAGAGGTATGGAACATTTTTTCTCACATCCCTCAGAAGAAACCAACCCTGCTGACACCTCAATCTTGGACTTCCAGCCTCCAGAACCATGAGATAATAACTTCCTATTGTTTAAGCCACCCTGATTGTGATGCTTTGTTATGATAAGCAGCCCTTAAAAATTAATATACAGTACTATTTGCTGTCTACTTACTGTGAGCCAAGTACGGTCCACTTGCTTTGTATTCATTATCTCATCTAATTCCTACAAAAAATCTATTTAGGTGGTTTGTTTCTAACCTAATTTATAGATGGGGAAACTGAAGCTCAGAAAATCTAAGTAATTTACTCAAGGTCACATATTGCAAGTGGCAGAACAAGGATACCATCCCAAAATGTTTCTGAAATCCTTGTGCTTCCTAATTCCAAAGGGCTGATACTAAACTATGTCAAAATAACCTTCATATATCACGTTGTTAGGGAATTTGTTCAGTTATGAGGACAGTTTAGCATAAACATAATTTCTTTGAAATGAAAACCTATGGTAGTTCCCCAAGTTTGCTTTGTGGTAGAGATTCAACAACACAAATGTGAAGATTTTAGAAGAACAACAGTTAAGAAAAACAAGGCCTCCAGTTTTAAGTTTTTCTTTTCTTTGCCAGAGCTATCTCTTTAAATGCAATATAATTGTTATGTCTTCCAAATAAAAATTTAGTCTATGATACTTTTAAAGTAAATTCTAATTGCAGATATTTGTTGATTAGTCCTTCTGAATTTGTGATGTGCAATTCTATTAAGAACAATGAATACAATAATTTAGCTGGTTTGAATTTGTTTTCATATGATTTCAGGTGTAAATTCTCTCACTGAAATACAGTTGAATGTGTCACTGTAGATCTAATAATACTTGCATTCACTTAATCTGATATATATCATATATATGATACATATTGAGTTAAATTTATAAATTATACCTAAAAATTTGCACATATAATTAATGACCTGTTTGACATTTTTCCTGACATCTTCTATATCTCCTGTTTTCTGTGCTTTCTGATTGTATTTTTTCCGACTTTTTGTCGGAACATTTGATTTTTCTTTACTCTTTCTTTCTTCTAATGGTTTGAAAATTATATATCACATTTCTATTGTATCTATAAATACACTTAGCATTTAGTAAAAATGTTTATTGAGAACATTGAGTGAGCTAACTGCTTATCCCTTTTCCTCTTTAGATTTTAGGCTCACCAAGAAACAGACATAGAATCCTGTTAGAAATTAAAAGTGGATTGGAGAAGAAACTGATGCTGAGGCTGAAACAAGGCTTCTCACCTCTCTCCTACAAATTGAATATACCCATGTAAGAAGAGAAGCAGAGAGAAAGGGGGTTGCCCAGGTGAGCTAACCTCTTGGTTAAATAGGAATGTTTAACAGCAGCAGGAAGCAAAGAGTGCATGAGCAACTTCCAGCCATGAACAGAACCATTAATAGCTTCTACCCAGCCTCATGAATTAGATAAAACACCCTGAGGTTATTTCAAGACCTTTGCAGCCAGGCACAGTGGCTCAAACTGTAATCCCAGCACGTTGGAAGGTTAAGGCAGGCATATCGCTTGATGTCAGGAGTTCAAAATCAGCCTGGCCAACGTGGTGAAACCCCATTTCTAGTAAAAATACAGAAATTAGCCAGGCATGGTGGTGGGTGCCTGTAATCCCAGTCGGGAGGCTGAGGCAGGAGAATCACTTGAACCAGTGAGTGGAGGTTGCAGTGAGCTGGATTGCGCCATTGCACTCCAGCCTGGGCAACTGAGCGAGACTCTGTCTCAAAAATAAATAAATAAATAAATAAAAATAAGAACTTTGCAGACCCTGGCAATCCTTATTTAGGAGGCCCTATATGCAAATTAAATGGATTTAAACATACTCCCTTATATGTATCTATAATGTAGATATAATTTTTAAAAATAATCTTCAAAACGCTTTTGTGATTTTGGTTCTGAAAAATATTTAGCCCTAAATAAATTCTAAAATGTATGCTTAGCTGTGATTTCTTGGCAATTGTTATGCAGAGTGAGATATTCTGATGAAATCTATAAATTGTTTCCAAAAGTAATTAATTTTTCAATATCACATTTAGTAATTAATAAAGTTAATATATGGAATGCTTTTAAGCATATGATTATATATTTGTTAAAATTTCAACTTTGCAGCTTTCTTCTTTTGGAGAAAGCACTTTTCTTCCCCCTCAGTTTCAACATATTCATGGGTCCCAGACACTGGACCTATAGCTCTTAATCGATAACACAGTTCTGTGGGGAGAAGTCAGAGTGGGTTGAATGACAGAACATTTTCTAAAGCTTCCTGGAACATTTCTAGAACAATTTCCCAGAACATCTCCAAGAAGATAAAAATTTCTGCTTTAGGGACTGGGGATGGGATACTTGAAGAGTTAGAGAAGAACTTCCGATGATGTAGCTATATTTCTCTATTATGTCTTCATTTAATTGGTATCTATTTTCTTCCACAAATATGGAAAAAAATATGTATTGTGACTTTACTTCCTGCTGAGAACTTCCGTGTTGAAATAACTTATAATTTTTGATTCAAATGCTACTATTTTTACATATGATCACCAATTATTTAAACTTAAGATTTACTGAATTTCTTGCTTTTCAAACAAGATTTACTGTTAGATTCACCGTTTTTCCTGTAGGTCTTCATATTAGGTAGATGATGAAATTCTGAGCATAAAAAGTGGGTCTAAGGCTATAGATTCAAAATTATATTTCCTCAGAATGAGGGAGTTAATTGTTCTGTTTTTTTTTTTTTTTTTTTTTTTTTTTTTTTTTACATTCAATGCTGTCAGTAAAAAGTTTGGTTGACAGTCTTATTTTTCAATACTTGATAGACAACATATTTTTTCTTTCTCAAGACTTTTAGCATTTACTTTATATCCTCGATACCTGAAGATGTAGGTCTTGATTAATTCATCCTGCTCAGCACTTGGTTGATTCTTTCAATCTGAAGATTTGGGCTTTCTTCAGCTGTGGGAAGCTTTTTCTATTGTTTCTGTAACTCTATCCTTGCCTCAGTTTCTTCCGTGCTCTACTTCTGTAACTATTACTAGATAGCTGTGAAAAATTCTGGATCATCCTTGATGTCTTCTAGCTCTGCCCCACATATTCTTTGTTGCCCTTTTACATTGCATTCCTGTAGATTTATGGAGCTTAATCTATCAGCTCTATTTTACTCTTCAACTGAAGGTTGGGGTGGTTGTAGCAATTTTTTAAAATAAAACAACAATGAAGTTCGCTACTGTGATTGATTTTTCCACTCACAAAAAAGTTTTCCATAGCATGTGATGCTGTTTGATAGCATTTTACCCACATTAGAACTTCCTTCAAATTTGGAGTCAATCTTCTCAAACCCTGCCACTGATTTATCTGCTAAGTTTCTCTATGACTTTAAGTCCTTTGTTGTTATTTCAATAATATTCACACTATTTTCACGAGGAATAGATTCCATCTCAAGAAAACTTTCTTCCTCATTGATAAAAAGTAACTCTTCATCTGTTACAGTTTTCTTTTGCTTTTTTTTTTTTTTTTTAGATGGAGTCTCCTCTGTCACCCAGGCTGGAGTGCAGTGGCATGATCTCGGCTCACTGCAAGCTCTGCCTCCCGGGTTCACACCATTCTCCTGCCTCAGCCTCTCGAGTAGCTGGGACTACAGGTGCCTGCCACCACGCTTGGCTAATTTTTTTGTATTTCTTAATGGAGACCGGGTTTCACCGCGTTAGCCAAGATGGTCTCGATCTCTTGACCTCATGATCCGCCTGCCTCAGCCTCCCAAAGTGCTGGGATTACAGGTGTGAGCCACATCTCTTACAGTTTTATGATGAGATTAGAGCAATTTAGTCACATTTTCGGGCTCCACTTCTAACTCTAGTTCTCTTGCTGTTTCTATCACAGCTGCAGTTACTTTCTCCACTGAAGTTTTGAACCCCTCGAAGTCATCCATGAGGGATGGAATTGCCTTCTTCCAAACTCCTGTTAATGCTGATATTTTGTTTCTTTCCATAAATTACAAATGTTCATCTAGAATGGTGAATTTTTCTTCAGAATATTTTCAGTTTATTTCACCCAGTTCCACCAGAGGAATCACTGTCTATGGCAGCTATAGCTGTAACAAATGCATTTCTTAAATAATAAAATGTGCAAATAAAAATTACACATTAATCCATGGGCCGAAGAAAGGATGTTGTGTTAGCAGGCAGGAAAACAACATAAATCTCCTTGCATAGGTCCATCACAGCTCTTGGGTGACTATGTGCATTGTTAACGAGCAGTGATATTTTGAAAGAAATCATTTTTTCTGACCAGTAGGTCTCAACAGTGGCTTAAAATATTCAGTAAACCTTGGAGCAAAGAGATTGTGCTGCCATGCAGGCTTCATTGTTTTATTTCTAGCACACAGACAGAATAGAAATTATCATCATTCTTAAGGGTCCTAGAATTTTCAGAATGGTAAATGAGTGTTGGTTTCAATTTAAAGTCATAGCTGCATTAGGATCAGACCTAAATGGTTCTTACAGAGACTTCTTCTGCTCCTTATGTTTCTTAATTCCAAACGTGTAGAAGTCCCAGAATTCCTCCAATCTCTTTTCTTTTACCTTTTTCCACATATTTAAGCTCTGGGCTGTGGTTTATTTTCATTGATCTGATCCTAACAAGATAGTCATCAGCCTGTCCTTTGAAGCGTTAGAGCCAGACATTGACTTCTCTCTAGCTAGGAAAGTGGAAGATGACATCTTCTTCTAATAGAATGGGGCTGGATCACTAGCAACTTCTCCATCAGCACTTGCTGCTTCACCTTGCACTTTTGTGTTATGGAGTCGACTTCTTTCCTTCAACCTTGTGAACAAACCTCTGCTAATTTCAACCTTTTCTTCGCAGCTGCCTCACCTGTCTCAGCCTTCATAGGATTGAAGAGAGTTCTGGATTAGGCTTTGATTTAAGGGAATGTGTTGATTGGTTTGATCTTCTCTCCAGACCACTAAAACATTCTCCATATCAGCAATAAGGCTGTTTTGCTCTCTTATCATTCATATATTCATATATTCACCACAGTAGCACTTTTAATTTCCTTCAAGAATTTTTCCTTTGCATTCACAACTTGGCTAACTGGCACAAGAGGCCTAGCTTTTGGCCTATCTCGCTTTTGATATGCCTTCCTCACTAAGCTTAATCGTTTCTAGTTTTTGATTTAAAGTGAGACACATGCGCCTCTTTGTTTCACTTGAACACTTAGAGGATATTTTAAGGTTATCAATTGGCCTAATTTCGATATTATTGTGTCTCGGGAAATAAGGAGGCCTGAGGAGAGGGAGAGAGATAGGGGAATGGCTGGTTGGTGGAGCAGTCAGAACACACACAAATATTTACCAATTAAGTTTGCCGTCTTACATGGGAGCTGTTCATGGCACTCCAAAACAATTATAATAGTAACATGAAGTATCATTGATCATAGATCCCCATAATGGGTAGAATAATAAGGAAAAAATTTGAAATATCTTGATAATTACCAAAATGTGCCACAGAAGGAAGCACAAGCTATTTTAAAAAATGGCGCCAATAGACTAGCTTGAAACAGGGTTGCCACAAACATTCGATTTGTGGACAATGCAGTATGTGAGAAGCACAATAATGTGAAGTGCAATAAAATGTGGGATGTCTGTGTATTTTCTAGGATATCTGTTCTTCTAATAATAATCTCAGCTATACAATGGAATCTACTGATAACTATTTAAAAATACTGATGCTTTGGATCCATCCCAGATATTTAATTAATTTATGGCTTAGTCTGGACATCAAAGTTAAAAAAAAGGTTTTCAGGTGATTTTAAGGTTGAAAAATGCTCTTCTATATGTTGAGTTATATGCCTCTTATTCAGGCTTGCATCTTCTTGCTTTGTTGTGTTTTTCTTTGTACTTGTGGTCTCTGTTCACCTGATAAAGAATGCTTTTTCTGGTTCACATAGCTTGCTTCTGTGATTGTGGCCAAAGAGAAGATCATTGTCAGAACAAAGTGTCCATTTCAGTAGTGGAGAATCCCTATTCAATATGAGTATGACCAACTGTCTATGATTTCTCTGCTCCAAGTACCCACACTGTCCTATTCAGTGCTTGCTTAGCACAAGTTAGGGGAGAAGCTTTATCTGCCTATGCACTATGAATGCTGTTTGGTAGCCAGTACCCCAGATGGTTTTTATAGAGAATCCTTCTGCTCCTTAAATTTTTAATTCTAAATATGTAGAATTCCCTGAACTCCTCCTACCCTTTTTCATTTACTTTTTTTTTCATATGTAAGCTCTGGAGTGTGGCTTATTTTATTAATCTGATCCTACCAGCTTTTAACCTTTCAGGGAACTCCTCCAAATTTCTGGGCCATTATTGAACCTTTTTCTTGTTTCCTGGAGGAGTTGTGGATTTGAGAGGCATCTTCTCTGTTCTTTCTATAGATTTTAAGTAGGAGAAGTAGATAGGGACATGCTTGATTTAATTTCCCTCCTTACATTACATAGCATGTTCATATATGCTGTATAAATGTCCTTTATACATACAATCTCATTTAATTGTAATAATAATCTTGTCAAAAATGTATTGTTCCCATTTTATAAATAACAAAATTAAGGGTTTTAGACATTCATTGGGTTACCACTGGTTCCACAGCCTTTTGGTGGCATAATGGAGACTGGAGTTGAGATCACCTGAATCGAGTTCAGTGTTCTCACTGTACCACACTGCCTTAAAAATATTCTCAAATCATTTACATTTTCCACAAAAGCTCATATAAACTTGTAGATTCCTTTTATTCCCCTTCAAATCTCTGAACAGGTTGATACTGGCTGGTAGTTACTCTAATGTGTTTCATACAAATAGGCTGGTTTGACACCCATATCTTGAGTAAACAGTCAAATTCAATAAACATGGAGAGTCAGTACTCATTTGGATAGAAAATTCCTTTAATTTCTTTGGATTGTTAGAACAGGCACCAGCAGAATTCTGCCTTCAGGAGAAAGCATTTCTTAGAAGTATGGTGGTATACCCATCTATATGAATGTACAGTGACCATCATCTATTTGGCTGGTTAGAAGATGTAAAACAAGCAGGTAAATACAAATGTGGGAAGGTAGGTCTTTGTTAGGCAACAATATACTTCAAGTGATGAGGCATGAGGATTATCTTAAACAATGAAGATATACAGTTTCTTCGTTCTCAGAAGTGCTAGGAGAGAGAAATGAAAGGCTAGCCAAACTGGAAGAGGAGGACCAAAAGTCTTGCACACTATAGTCAGAGCAATTCTTACTTTTGAAATTCAAACTTTCCTTTGAGTTTAGTGTTTAAAGGGCAATTGGCTGAAATAAAAATAACTTTGGTTAAAAACAAGTGGTGATTCAGTTTAAATGCTGAACAACATTCAGCTTCAACTGTTTTGAGAACAAGCTTATGCTGTGGGACAATTTGGATTAACAGTATTAGAAAGAAACCTGATCAAGGTCTTCAGTCTTTATCAAAAGAGATGAGTTTAGTGAAGTTAACTCCTTTCATCTCACCCCATCTAGGCAAAAACAAAGGGGACGGAGTGAGAAATGGAAGTTTAGCTAGATCTTTATGGCAAACAAAAAGTTTAAATAGGTTTTGAAGCTTTTTATAAAAAGATCTCAATCTATCTGTCAAGGTCATGAAAAGTATTTGTCTTTTTATTCAGACCTCATGATTAAAAGTACACTGGTATTCAGAATTTGCCAGTGGACAGTTGGGGTGGATAGAAGCTTCTTTAAATATTCCATATCACACAGTCATATAGTTAGCTATTTAGGTATTATGCCTTCTAAGCTATGACCAGTCAACCCCAAAACACCTCTGTCCAAAGACTTGATTCATCCAGATACAGAGATAAATAGAGTTAAACAGTTGAAAAATTTATGAAAGAAATGGGCTTGGTCTTTGGTGTGCTCAGCCAATTTTCTGTATTAGATTAATCATGTGCTTGTTATTCTCTATTTGTCCTGCTAGATCTGCACTCCACCCTTTTCCACTTTTCTCTGTGCCCAGGAGATTGATTTATATGGAATTCATCAACTGGAATCTTTCCTTGTTCTCTTTCATTTGCATTTGGCCAATGAGAGCCACTGGCAGGAGGCTTGAGGGTGGTGGGGGGAGGGACTGGAGTATTTTCCTTGCAGCCAACTTCCTTCCTGGCCAGGACTTGGCACTGGTTGCCTTCCTCTAATGAAGGCACTGTTTCCATCAGTGGTCCTCTCCTACAGCCTCTGCTAGAGCCACAGCCTTATCTGAGATTCCCTTTTCTCTTCAGGGATACAGACCCTTGCTGTTGCTAGCCTCTTGGTGTTTCTACTTCTGTTATTATTATTTTTTTTCAGTCCTGGCCTCATCACCATAGATAGTCTCTTCATTAACTCTGCTTAACAATGTTGTTTGGGTGTGCAATCTATGTCCTGTCAGTCTTAGATTGTTACACCACCTAAATCACATCTTCTGCAGATGTAAAAAGGGAGCTGGCACTAGTTAAATTGTTAATGAAATTATCCACCATCTATGTTTAATTATCCAATTTCAGTATATACATATAGTGGTTTCAGAATAGTCAACCCATGCTCCCATGGGAAACAACTTTACTAACTAAAGTACAGTGCTTACATGCAGTTCCTTTGCCTTTAGACTTATAATCCACTTATTTCCAAAGCTAATAGCTTTTGCTAAGTAACTAAGTTTGTTAATAGTAACTAATATTTTAAAATTTTATTTTATTCAAGAAATCTTGTTTGGTGTTAACTATGAGTCACACATGGAATTTACGAGTCTAGTGGGAGGGATAAACTAGTACACCTAGCCTTTACTTTACAAATTAATTTATTTCCCAAAACACTGCTGTTAAGTTCAAAACTGTTAAATAAGAAATTATTTCCATTTATTTTAATGGAAAAAATTTGATTTGTTTTTTCTTAATCCCAAATGTACAATTTTCAAAGATAGAAAGAAAAAAATATTAATGGAACAATTTAAACAAGTTCATGAATTAATTTATTTCCAAAACATTGCTATTAAGTTCAAAGCTGTTAAATAAGAAATTATTTTCATTTGTTTCAATGGAAAAACTTTGATTTGTTTTATCTTAACCTCAAATGCACAATTTTCATAGATAGAAAGAAAAAAAATACTGATGGAACAATTTAAACAAGTTTATATAAGGTATAAAACTTTGAAAGTGAAAAAGTAAAGTTTGTATATAAATTACAATGCTATAAACATTTGTTACATTTTCCAAAGTAAGAAGGAAAGACTAGATGCTAGATGGCAAGTGGTAATTGGGAATCTCATGGACAGCACAAGTTTGAGAATGCACAGAGTATTGAGAGAGGGACTGAGAGGAAAAAGTGAAAAATAAAGTCACTGGTATCTCAGTTCCTCTGCCTCCTACATCTCATCTTTTAAAAGGGTGTGCAATGTTCTTTATCTCCTTCCTCCATCAAATCAAAGAGTGATCTGATGATAGTTGTGTTATAGGATAAAAATATTATCAAGATCAAAGCCAAAACACATCATTAATAAGAGCTACCAGGGCTCTCACATGTTGTATAAACTGAAGTCACTGCCTTTTCCAATCTTAGGTCCGAGGCCTGAATTTATAAATCCTCCAAATGGAGGTGTTCCCACCATTTCTCTCCTTTTGCCTCACAGGACCCCATTACAGGGCTCCATTCTTACACTCTCCTCACCAATGGCTTCCACTGTTCTATTTTATTCTCTGCTTCCATTATAGTTTGGTGAACCAGTGCTTATACCCAGAGCTGACCATTCCATGATCTGGAGTTGTGTTGTCACAAACTGTTCAGCAGCAGGGACTGGCTGTTCCTCTGGGGAAAAGAAGGGTACTGCTACATATGGGCTGCCAAATGGGAGACAGATGGGGGGATGATAGGGATGATATTGGAGTCGAGGGATGGGGAACTCTGTAAGAAGGCCAGGAACCTCTGTGTGAGTCTACTTGAGAGGGAGGGAAATGGAGAGAGAAACTGGGCTGTTGGGAAACCTATTCTGAAAGCTTCACTTTTGGATAAACATCAGTATGTGAAGATGAAGATTAAGCTGTGAATAGAATGAAAGAAAGAATTTACATTTATGTTGCTTATAGCAAAGAGGAAAACCCCAAATTCTATTTCACTATTAAAAGTAATTTCCAAAACAATTGTTCCATTTATTATTTATGATGACTCTCAAATGCATATGAAGAGTTGAGGCCAGGAGCAGTGGCTCGCGCCTGTAATCCTAGCACTTTGGGAGGCTGAGGCAGGCGGACTACCTGAGCTCAGGAGTTTGAGACTATCCTGGGCAACATGGCAAAATCCCATCTCTACTAAAAATTCAAAAAAAAAAAAAAAAATTAGCCGGGCATGGTGGCTCACGCCTGTAGTCCCAGCTACTTGGGAGGCTGAGACAGGAGAAATGCTTGAACCCGGGAGGAGGAGGTTGCAGTGTTCCGAAATTGTGCCACTGCACTCCAGCCTGGGCAACAGAGTGAGACTCTGTCTCAAAAAAAGAAAAAGAAAAAGAAAAAAAAAAGAGTTGGTTCATTAATCCACTTGTTTATTCAACAAGTATTGATCACCTACAATGTGCAAGGGTCTGAGCCATATGCTGAGGACATAAAAGTATATCACATGGTTCCTATGCTTGAGAAGTTCATAAACTTGCTGTGAACACAATGAAATAGCTATCTGTAATGGAGAAAAATAGTTGTTACAACTATCATGATAATGTTATGATATGATGACATATGTTGTAGCTGTCATATAATGTTATGACAGTGACTATGATAATACATAGCTGAAGAAGTAGTTTACCTTATGTCAAAAGGTGGATTCCCCGGAAGCAGATCTTAAGGCAAGGATTTTTACATAAATGATCAGTTAAGGAAGTGCTCCCAGGAAAAGCTAATAAAGGCATGGAGAAAGTAGGACAAGGAAGGAAAAGAAACTGAGAAAGTGTGCAAATGTTAGGCAAAGTTGCAGTCTTAGTCTGATACTGTAGGGAAGTTGCAGAGTTTAAATAACACCTCAGAGTATGTTCAACTGGAGACAAAGGGCATGAGGCTTTCATACTCTGCATCAAGCAGTTATTGACTATGAGCTACCCTACAGGGGGAAGACATAAACTCCCAAGCACTCTCTATCTCTCTAGATGCAGGCAGAGTAACTCCAGCAGCCCAAGGGCAGACTCCCAAAAGGGTCTTGGGTGCAGGGACAGGACTGTTATAAGCAAAACTGTGCAGGAGCTGGGGGACTGATGTGTAGAAATGGAAAGAGAGCTTCAAGGGGATCTCAGCTGGGCACCAAATGTATCTGCTGTATCCTGACAGACAGGATTGGGGAAGACTGCAGAGGAAGTATCATTTGAGGGGATCTTTGAGGATAAGTAGGAATTTTCCAGGTGAATAAGGGAGAGAGCAGCATAAGCGAAGACTTGCACTATATAGACAAAAGCATGGTGAGGATTAATGAATGCTTGTATCTGCTCAGCCTTCTGTTAATTATGTGGGAAGGCTGCTGCTCACAACATCCTGGTTTTTTTTGAAGCTAACCTAAGATATTATATAATTTCATCCATAAATATGTCAGTATGTAGCTCTAAAAATAAGGGTTCCTTTAAAATATCATTAAATACAAGCATGCCTTTTTTCATTGCACTTTGCTTTATTGTGCTTCACACATATTGCATTTTTTAAAAGTTAAAAGTTTGTGGTAACTCTCTGTCTAGCTAGTATATTGCTGCCGTTTTTCCATCAGCATGTGTTCACTGCATATCTCTGTGTCACATCTTGGCAATTCTCACAATATTGCAAACTTTTTCACTATTATTTTATCTGTTATGGAGATCTGTGATCAGCGATCTTCGATGTTACTATTATGATTGTTTTGGGGTGACAGGAACCACACCCATTTAAGATGGTGACTTAATTGATTAATGTTGTATGTGATCTGAGTGCTCCACTGACTGGCCATTGCCCCATCTCTCTCCCTCTCCTCAGGTCTCTGTATTTTCTAAGACATACAATATTGGAGTTAGGCCAATTAATAACTCTACCATGTCACCTAAATGTTCAAGTGAAAGGAAGAGATGCACATTTCTCACTTTAAATCAACAGCTAGAAATAATCAATCCTAGCAAGGAAGACACGTCAAAAGCCAAGATATGACAAAATCTAGGCCTTTTGTGCTGGCAAGCGAAGTTGTGAATGCAAAGGAAGAATTCTTGAGGGAAATTAAAAGTGTTACTCCAGTAAATGTATGAATGATAAGAAAGCAAAACAGGCTTATTGCTGATATGGTGAAAGTTTGACTCTTCTGGATAGAAGATCAAACCAGCCACAACATTCCCTTCAGCCAAAGCTTAATCTAGAGCATGACCCTAACTCTCTTTTACGAAGGCTGAGAAGAGTGAAGAAGCTGCAGAAGAAAAGGTTGAAGTTGATTTAGCAGAGGGTGGTTCATGAGGTTGAAGGAAAGAAGCCATCTTCATAACATAAAAGTGCTTAATTAAACTAAATAGCTTCTGCACAGCAAAAGGAAGGCAGCAGATTAAGCAGACAACCCACAGAATGGGAGAAAATCTTCACAATCTATACATCTGACAAAGGACTAATGTCCAGAATCTACCACAAACTCAAACAAATTAGTAAGAAGAACAAAGAATCCCATCAAAAAGTGGGCTAAGGACATGAATAAACAATTCTCAAAAGATGATGTACAAATGGCCATTAAACATGAAAAAATGCTCAACATCACTAATGATTGGGGACATGCAAATCAAAACCACAGTGCAATACCACCTTACTCCTGCAAGAATGGCCATAATCAAAAAATCAAAAAATAATTGATGTGTGCATGAATGTGGTGAACAGGGAACACTTCTACACTGCTGGTGGGAATTTAGTACAACCACTATGGAAAACAGTGTGGAGATTCCTTAAAGGACTAAAAGTAGATCTACCATTTGATCCAGCAATACCACTTCTGGGTATCTACCCAGAGAAATATAAGTCATTATACAAAAAAGATACTTGCACTTGCATGTTTTTAGCAGCACAATTCACAATTGCAAAAATATGGAACCAGTCCAAATGCTCATCAATCAATGAGTGGATGAAGAAATTGTGGTATATATATCTATACAGTGGAATGCTACTTAGCCATAAAAAGGAATGAATTAATGGCATTTGCAGCAACCTGGATGAAACCAGACTGTGGTTCTATGGAAAGTAACTCAGGAATGGAAAACCAAGTATCATATCTTCTCATTCATAAGTGAGAGCTAAGCTATGAGGATGCAAAGGCATAAGAATGATACAATGGACTTCAGGGCCTCAGGGGAAAGGGTGGGAGGGGTGTGAGGAATAAAAGACTACAAACTGGGTTCAATGTATACTGCTTGGGTGATGGGTGCCCCAAAATGTAACCAAATACCACCTGTTACCCAAAAACCTATGGAAATCAAAAATTTTTTAAAAAGTGCAAGATGGAGCAGTAAGTTCTGATGGAGAAGCTGCAGTAAGTAATCCAGAAGATCTGGGTAAGATCATTCAAGACGGTGGCTACACTAAATAATGGATTTTCAATGTAGAAGAAAGAGCCTTTTAATGGAAGGAGATGCTGTCTACAACTTTCCTAGCTAGAGAGGAGAAGTTAATGCCTGTCTTCAAAGCTTCAAAGGACAGGCTGACTAATGCATCTGGTGACTTTAAGTAGAAACGAAGCTCATTTACTGTCCTGAAAATCATAGGACCCTGAAGAATTGTGCTAAACCTACTCTGCCTGTACTCTATGAGGTAAGCAGCAAAGCCTGGATGACAGCACATCTGTTTGCAGCATGGCTTACTGAATATTTTAAGTCAATTGTTGAGACCTACTGCTTGGGGAAAAAAATTCTTTTAAAATATTACTGCTCATTGATAATGCAGCTGGTCAACCAAGAGCTCTGATGGAAATGTACAAGGAGATTATTGTTGTTTTCATGTCAGCCAATACAACATCCATTCTGAATCCCATGGATTAAGGAGTTGTTTTATTATGATACTCACTTTATTGCAGTGGACTGGAACCAAACCCTCAGTATCTCCAAGGTATGCTTGTAATAAGTATCACCATTAACAATGAACAATTGTTCATTAATATTATCAAATTAACATTAAATTCTTAATATCATCAAATATCCAGAGTTCAGATTTCTCTAATTGCATTTTTTAAATTATACTTTAAGTTCTGGGGTACATGTGCAGAATGTGCAAGTTTGTTACATAGGTATACGCGTGCCATGGTGGTTTACTGCACCCATCAACCCATCATCTACATTAGGTATTTCTCCTAAAGCTATCCCTCTTCTAGCCCCACACCCCCTGACAGGCCCCAGTGTGTGATGTTCCCCTCCCTGTGTCCATGTGTTCTCACTGATCAACTCCCACTTATGAGTGAGAACATGTGGTGTTTGGTTTTCTGTTCCTGTGTTAGTTTGCTGAGAATGATGGTTTCCAGCATCATCCATGTCCCCGCAAAGGACATGAACTCATCATTTTTTATGGCTGCATAGTATTCCATAGTATATATGTGCCACATTTTCTTTATCCAGTCTATCATTGATGGGCATTTGGGTTGGTTCCAAGTCTTTGCTATTGTGAACAGTGACACAATAAACATAAATGTGCATGTGTCTTTATAGCAGAATGATTTATAATCCTTTGGGTATATATCCAGTAATGGGATTACTGGGTCAAATGGTATTTCTGGTTCTAGATCCTTGAGGAATCTCCACACTGTCTTCCACAATGGTTGAACTAATTTACACTTCCACCAACAGTGTAAAAGCATCCCTATTTCTCCACATCCTCTCCAGCATCTGTTGTTTCTAATTGTATTTTATATGTGCATTTATGTATGATACAAAATATGTTTGCACTATATATTAGATATATTTATATTTATACATAAACACATAAATGTGTGTGTTTCCAGTCAGTTTGTTTGATACAGGATCCAAACAAGATTTACACATTAAATTTAGTTTCTATGTCTAATTATCTTGTATTCTGTAGGTTCCCTCCTAGTACTCACTTTGTTTTTCTAGCAATTTATTAGTTGGGGAAAACAGATTATTTGTTCAAGTGTCTGCATTTTGGATTTTCATGATTGCATTACTGTGATGTCATTAAAATGCTCCTCCATTCTGTGTATATTATGTAAACTAGTAGTTATATTTGAGGCAATTAGATTTCTTCATTTGTTTGTTCATTTGTTTTACAAGAATACTTTCTAGTTGGAGAGTTGAATATTACCATATCTCAAAACTATGTATTTACTTCTTGACTTACTAACTGTACTTTAGAAATTTACCCTCAGGAAACACCCCCACCCCACCCATAATACAAAATAACATACATAGCAGAGACATCTCCAATAACAAAATATTTGGAACAACCTAAATGCCTGTGTTTAGGAAATTGATGAACTAGACCATGGTACCGCCACACAATGTACCATAAGTCATACAAAAAAGCAAAAACAAAGAGAAAAATGAAAATCTCTATGACCTAACATGGAACAATTTTCAGTATTTATTAAGTGAAAAAATTCAAGGGGCAAAATGATAGATAGAGTACACTACAGTTTGTATAAGAAAGCATCATGTATATGTTTATACACTTATATGACTATTTTTACAAGAAAGAAATAAAGGATTGGTAAACCATCAGCTAAAGAAAATAGTTAACTATCTTTAGAGTGACAACTGGATGGGAGAGTAGACAAAGGGATGACTTCTCAGAATATACCTTTTGTAAATATAAAGTCTTTACTTTTGAGTCATGTAGATGTTTTACTTATTTAAACATGGTGCATGTAGACAAAAATAAAATTTAATTAAAAATGGTTGATGACAAATAATTTCTCGTTACTACAGAAAGCTTTTCCTCATATCTATCCTTTCTCAAAACGCAATTTTACAACTAATGTATCTTTCACTGTGGATCCCCGAAAAGGAACATGTCACTTTAACTCTCTGCTTAGAGTTATCTAATAAAATTATAGGCTTAGGCAGCATTTTTTTGTGATTATAACCATAATTTAATTGATTTGTTTAGTGCTCAGAATATCTGAAAGTGATATTTTGACACAAGATGTGGGCTCATATTTTACGAGTTGTTCAAAATTGAATTGACATGGTAGCATTCCTATAGGTCTGCTTTGAAAGAGAATATTAAAATCATACAGTTGAGAAGGTGGACACACAAAATAACTTGATCAAACATGCTGAAATGTTATATTTAAAATAATGTTTCAGGGGATCTCAAAACAAAAATATTTATAAATGGTGGCATTTATTATAACCTAAATTAGTAAGATGTTCCTTTATAAGCCTAAAATAGAAAATTGCTTCTCTCCTCTAGATGGTCAGTCTATTTTGCGGCTGTATTATGAAGTCATCTTTCTACAATTTTGAGAGCTGTTAAAAGCATTCTCAGATAATTTGGACGGGCAAGCAAGGAGAGTAATTTTTTCTTTGTAGGTGAATGTGGAAAAATAAATGGAAAGCTTAACAGTGATACCACAGAGCATATCTGCAAGGCCACATCAGAGAGGAGAAAGAACTGTTCCAATGTGGAGAGGGGTATTCAGTGTGCATATTGCTGACTGAGATGTTTCGAAATGTGCTTGAATGGCTTAGATTGTGGAACAAGTATGCTGCTCCAGAGGTGTCAAATTATTTCTCCTCAACTGGAAGAATCAGCACTTTAGTGCCATAATTCTCTAGACTTTGGCAAATGTCTTATCCATCATTGGTATATATGCCCTGCAAAATGAGAGAATTTTTCAGTGATGTTATGTAAAAGTAGAACATTTGTTTCCTGATTTTACAAGGGGAGCGTGACTGTTTGCCTTTATCTAACATTTAAATCATCAATGGAGGGGGCCCTGAAGTCTTGAAGGATTGGCAAGAAGATAGCAAGTCTTTCACATCCAGGAGTTTTATGGCACCTGGGTTCAGATAAGTGGCATCACCCATAGTTATTGTTCTCATGATGTTTTTTATAGACTCTAATACTACTTATGGCTTCCCTTCAAAGATTTTTTTGGCTTTCATGATATGGCACAGTCTTGACTGTTTTCTCACTTCATTTCTCTTCTGTCTTGCTTGATTTTGTTGTATAAATCTTCATTCTCTTACCCCAGATTTTCTATTTTGTTTTATAAACTATTTAGTTTTTAAAAACACCTTTTCAGTTAATATTCCTGGGATTTCAGAGTATACCGTTATATCAAATGCAAATGGTGATAATTTTTATCCCCTTTTCAAAAAGCGTATTTATCTTTTCTGCCCTATTTTTTTGCCAAGGCCTTATATAACAGTATTAATGGAGTTGAAAATTTGAAATTCCATATTTCTGATGCAGTGAGACCTTACATTTCCCACTGTGCTCCAGAAATTGCCTAGAGGTACAGTGAACTGTAGAATATCACAGAAGCCACTGGACCCAGTATCACCACGGTCAGCTCCTACAGGTAGCCTAGGAGGAGGAGGAAAATTTGGAGAAATCATCAAAGACTTTTATCATCTACAGTTTGGAACTCTTCAGGGAGTTATTCATGACTTTCCCAGGTGAACCAGAGAAGTCTCTTTTTTGGTAGGAGAGAGCCTTTTGAGGACATCGGTTGGCTGGGCTTCCTTGATACTGACATGTTCAGCCACAGGCAAGTTATAAAGGGCTCCCTCCTCTTGTGTGGATAATTGGATAAACCTCCCATTTTCTCTCTCCTGCCTGTTTACTCCATATTGTCTGAACTCTTCACTCCACATTTGGTTCTTGTCTCTATGTAGACACTTTGAAATTGATGCTTTGCTTCCTGAAATGCTTATCTGAGATGCTCTTTATAGTTCCTCTTTTGTCCTGTGTCTTGAGAGTTACCACTTTCTCTTCCCTAGGAAGGAAATGAAAATTGATCTTGTTTAGGAGCATAATCCCAGAGGGGTTTTGATTTGTTAATATTCTAGTTAGATTTGAATCTATATTAATTAGAGATGGTGATCTATATATAGTTACTTTTACTATGGTTTAGAATAACTTAAACAGTATTTGAATTATGCAGTAGTATGGTGGTGTTTCAAGTAACCAGCTCTCAGGGCTGGGGGATATGGGTGAATTGCCCTAGTTGGTAGTGAATGCCAATTACTGTGGTGTAAACACTTTCATCATAGCCGTCAATGTAATGTCACTGTACCTGGAGTTGGGAAAAGACACAATTAGCTCCTATCCACTGTTCTAAGAATCTCCAGCACATCCCTGGGATTATCAATTCTTTAATGATAAGAAGGTGTGAACCCAGCCACTTTCTTTACCAGAATATATTAGAAGATTTGCTAGTTGTTTACTACAGCCTTTTCTCTTCTCTCCCTGGCACACAGATGATTTTGCAGCTTCCTTTGCCTGCTGCCTTAAATGTGGCCCAAGACTGGGTTCTGGCCCAGAAATGTAGGCAGAATTTATGTAAGTCATTTTTAAGGCTGGCCCATAAATAAACTTCCTATCTGATTCTTCATGTTCTTTTCTTCCATTGCCTTCCTGCCAAATGCAGAGGGTAGCAAACATCTACCAGGGTCTAGAGAACGGCAGATCTAGTTTACAAGATGAAAGAGCAAGTGGCCCTGAAACATTGCTTGGGGGAGTTAATCACACCTGTTTAGAATTGATGTAGCTAAGATATATACTTCCATTTACTAACGCACTGAGGTTTCTGGGTTTATCTCTTGTAATAAGTAAGTTACTCTGATTGGTACCATGGCAAAGCTTATTAATTTATTTCATATGTCTTCCTTGGAAATTAATATATTCATGTTTCTACTTCATGACTTGATTTTGGTAATTTGGGTTTGCTAGAAAATCATTCATTTCCTTCTCGTTTACAAACTTGTGGCTGTAGAATAGAACATAATATTTGCTTTAAATCCTATTCTCATTTGATTTGTGTTTATGTATTGTTTTGTATACTACTTCAATTACATTATTGTATTTTTTGTTTTAATTGGTTTATTGGTTTTTTATAGATTTTATCCGTTTTCATTTTATTAGTTGTCTTCTACTCTTTTCAAAGAAGCTGCTTTAGAAATTTTGTGTGTGCTTCCTACTATTTTTGATTTTTTAAAAATTAATTTCACCTTTTAACTATATTAAATTTCTCTTACTGCTATCTTACTCTTACTGTAATTTCATATACTATCTCTTAGTGAAATTTTATATAATTTTCATCAGAGAATGTGACCTGTAAAATCTCTAAGAAAAAAATTTCAGCCAAGTATCAGATTTTTATAATTTTTGTGAATGTTCATTGGATGCGGAAAAAGCTTATTCCCAATTTTTAGGGTACACACACACACACGCGCGCGCGTGCACACACACACACATGCAAACACACACACTTTTGTTGATCAGATTACGTGTTGTCTGCTAGATCTATGAAAAAGTGATATTAAAATAGCCTGCAAGAATGAAATTTTTAATCAAGTTATTTTTGAATTTCTAATAATTTTGGTTTTGTTGCACTTGGATTTATTTCTGACAAATCTCCTTCATAAATTTCACCCTTTATCATTACACACCTCTCTTTTTGCTGTCTTTGAAGTGTTTAACCTTAAAGAAACAAGCAGACAGATCTGCTTTCTGTTTGCTTTTGCGCGTGGTTGCTTTACTTATCTTAGTGTTTTCCCCGTTCTTTTATATCACTTAGATTTAAGAATGTTTCTCTTAAACAGTAGAAAGCTATCTTTTGTTTCTTTATTACATTTTGAGTATCTATGTCTTTCAGTAGGGTAATTCATACCACTGAGATACTTGGTTTATTCCAAATATATTAATTTATTACTATATTTTTAGTTCGTATCTCACTTATATTTTCTTCTTTTTATTCTTATTTGGTTGTTGTTATTAATTTAATTTTTTCTTCTTTTGCTACCTGTCAGCAGGAAGTAGGTTGTTGTTAAAAGTTACTATTCATTTCTGTTTTCCCATTACCAGTTCAGAAGTTCTATTATGCTTTTCAATTCTGCTAATAGTTATCTTCTTATCCCTAAAATTCAAAAATATTCACCTATTTCTCCTGTATTAAATAAGTATCAAATAGCAATATCATGACTCATAAAAATATGGTCTGCAAATTGAAAAAGCACAAAATCAGGATAATTTTTCTCTACTATTTCTTTTATTATTGCCTTTCCATATTTTCTGTTTCTTTCATTCTTTCTGGAGATTTTACTATTTACATGATTGGCTACTTTGTTCTATTATATGTATTTGCTTAGTGACCATCCCATTTTTAGTTTATTTATTGATACTTTTAATATAAAAATAAGGAATTATATTTTGTTATAGGAACTCCTTAAGTCTGCATACTATTGTTATTATTTTTGCTAATATTATCGTCTGTCTCAAACAGCAATTCCGTTTCTTTAGAGGTTTCTCTAGTCTAGGTACTCTACTTGCTATTCTTACTTTTGAGTTTTGGGTCCCCTTATGCATGTCAACATTTACCTTTATCTACTCATAGTTTGATTAATCTTGGGGTTCACATAAAGCCACTTGGGCCTACTAAACAGTGACAAACAGATCTGAAGGAAGATTCAGCAGTCTGTGCTCTGGTGAAATGTCACACTGAGTAGTCAGTGAAAATGCTGAGCTGAGTCACCAGGGAAAAGCTGTCTGCCTCCATGCTTCTGTGACTCCAGAGTTATGACTCCCAGTTTCAGGGAGAGACATAGCTCTCTGGGGTTCTGTCTGATATAGCAAGTCTTTCTAGGAACACACACTTCAGGGCTGCATGGGTCTCTTGTGTATAGAGAGCTCCAATCCTTCTTCCTTGTCATTGGTTCTCTGGTTCCCATCTGCTCCAGAAGGAAATGAAGGGATGTGCTTCGGTAGAGATTATGGCCCAGCACATACTTTCCAGGCTCTGAACACCTTTTGGTACTACTGTTCCACTGGACAAATGGATCAGAGTTAGAAGAAGGAGTGGATCTATCAGAAGACTTCTCAGCAGAATTCTTTTATGTTTCTTGGTAGGGGAGTCTAGCTTATTTGTCCTGTTTTCTTTATTTTCCTTTTTATATATAAACAACGAGTTGTTTGCTTTCATCTTTTGGCATGACATGCAAAGTAAAAGTATTAAATTATGTTGGTGGTTGTATTTCAGCTTAATGAATATGTATTTCATCCTTTATTTTTTCAAATTATTAAGATACCAGCTTTTGCTTCAAGGGAGCATGTCTAATGATCGGGTGGTCTTTGGAATCAGATTCCTTGTGTTTGAATTTGATGTCCACTACTCACTAGCTGTGTGACTTTGTTAGCTTCCACATATATAAAATGAAGACATAACCTCATGGGGTTGCTATTTGAATTAAATGAAATAATATAGGTAAGGAACCTAGGGCAGTACTAGAACACTGTCTAGCACACAGTAAGAATTCAATATATATTATCAGTATCATTCTTAATCGTAGTTTCACCATTATTTATTCTTCACTCATTGTTTTATTTGATGTTCGTGATTACCTCCACTCCTTTTTTATAGAAATGTTTTCTACAGGGAATGTTCTTTTAAAAAGTATTAAGTGAGGGACATATTTTACATGCACAAAACACTTTTGGTCATAAATCTAGTTCAGTAGAGATCCAGCACCAAGTGCTCATAGAAACAACAAAGCAAGCATGCTTGCATTACAATATAACTACTTATTTCTAGTGGTGTAATTTATCACAACAGTGGATGATAATGGTAATAAGAATATGTATAAGGCGTTGATATGGTTTGGCTGTGTCCCCACCCAAATCTCATCTTGAATTGTAGTTCCCATAATTCCCACATGTCGTGGGAGGGACCCGGTGAGAGGTAATTGAATTATGGGGGCGGTTACCCCCATGCTGTTCTCATGATAGTGAGTGAGTTCTAATGAGATCTGACGGTTTTATAAGGGGCTTTCCCCCTTTTGCTTAGCTCTTCTTGCTGCTGCCACGTGAAGCAGGACATGTTTGCTTCTCCTTCCACCATGGTTGTAAGTTTCCTGAGGCTTCCCCCGCCATGCTGAACTGTGAGTCAATTAAACCTCTTTCCTTTATAAACTACCCAGTCTTGGGTATGTCTTTATTAGCAGCGTGAGAATGGGCTAATACAGTCATTGTGATATGTAACTATTATTGGTGATACAATTGGTGATTAGTTAGCAAAGCTAATTGTAATCTGTTGCTGGAATTCCTCAGTAATGTTTAAGTTTCATGGTTATAAATTGCAATGCCTCTCTGCTGCCTTCATTAGTGAGAATTTTGTAGAAAAAATGATTTAAATCCAGATTTTCTATTTAAATTATTGTTTTTATAATGTGTTTTTAAATAACCTAGGTTTCTTATAAATATAGTTATTACCATATAGTAGGATCAATTGCATCATGACATTTCTTTTTTTTTTCTTTTTTGAGATGGAGTCTCACTCTGTTGCCCAGGCTGGAGTGCAGTGGCACAGTCTCAGCTCACTGCAACCTTTGTTTCCTGGGTTCAAGCAATTCTCCTACCTCAACCTCCATAATAGCTGGGGGTGCAGGTGTGCGCGACCATGGCCAGCTAATTTTTTTGTATTTTTAGTAGAGACAGGGTTTCCCCATGTTGGCCAGGCTGGTCTTGAACTCCTGACTGGAAATGATCTGCCCACCTGGGCCTCCCAAAGTGCTGGGATTATAAGCATGAGCCACCACGCCTGGCTCCATTATGACCTTTCTTGATTTCATTTTCTGCTCAACTGAGATGACTATTCAAATAATTTTCTTGGGAGAAGGTATATGTTATTACGTCCCTGAATCTGAAAACATCTTTCTATAACTTTCCACATTAATAATAATTCAATCACATAAAATTGTGTTGTAAACTTTTTTTAATCTGGAAGCTTGTAGGTATTTATTCCTTTAAATTAAAAAAAATTCTAAAATTTATTTGTGTGTGGGATACATCTTCTTTCTGCAACCTGCTTCTCAATACTGCATGTAATTTTACATGAAACTCACAAATCTTTTTAATCTGCAGACTCAGATATTTGCATAACCAAGGGCATTTTTCTTACTTGCTATAATTTACTAGTTTCTTTTTCTACTGTTCTGTTCCTGTCTCTTCTGGAGTATCTATAATTCTTCAATGGGCTTACCTTCATCTGTCTTTCATATATAACAACTGTGTTATCATTTTTATCTGAGAACTGCAACATCCCTTATAAATTCAAAATTTTTCTCTAATGTTTTTATGTCTTTGTTACCTTGACTAAAACCAGGCTATTCCCTGAGGTCAAGTTCTCCCCAAGTCTTCTGATGTCTGACGTAAACAGTGTTTTTCTCTTACGTCCCACATACATCAAGGCCAGAAGGTGAAAGTAGGTGCTCTTCCTGCTTGCCATTACTTTCCAACAATTAATCTCCTTTTCTACTGAAACAAAAACTAAACCCAAAACAAGTCTAAGCAAGACTTATTCTTTGAAATGCATGCCATCCAGCTGCATTACTTTCCACTCCTGCTGGTTGCTGTATCTATTGACCCTTACTGGTCTCTCTCCTTTATTGATTAAAAACATTAACTCCAGATTCAGATGCTCTAACCATTCTGTGATGAGTCTTTTTTGCTCTTGCTGCTTTCATGATTTTTTTTTCATCTTTGGCTTTTAGCAGTTTGACTCTGATGTGTCTACGAGTGGATCTCTGTATCCTACTTTGAGTTCATTGTACTTTTTATTGCTTTCATTAATGTTCTTCATTGAATTTGGAAAGTTTTTGGTCACTATTTCTCGAAATATTTACATGTATTTATTTTTAACATTTAATTTAATTTTTAATTTTTTAAATAAAAAAATAGAAACGGAGTCTCACCATGTTACCCAGGCTGGTCTCAAACTCTTGGGCTCTAGAGATCCTCCCACCTTGGCTCAGGAGTTCGAGACAAGCCAGGCAACAAAGTGAAATCCCATCTCTACAAAAAATACAAAAAAATTACCCGGACATGGTGGCAGCTACTTGGAGCCAGAGGTGGGAGGATCGCTTGAGCCCAGGAAGTCAAGGCTGAAGTGAGCTCTGTTTGTGCCACTACACTCCAGCCTGGGTGACAAAGCAGGATTCTGTCCCCAAAAAATTTTTTTTAAAGATTGTTTTTCACTATTTTCTCAGTGTGATGCCCAGTAGGCACTGAATCTGCAGATCTTAGGCACATATTTTCTCTTTTCAGATTGACTGGTTCTATGACTAAACTAAAGCCTCAGATGCAGTTACAATGCTCCTTTGAACTACACAGAACATGAGAAACTTCACCTCCTGCACCAACTGTGCCTTCTCTTTATGCCCACTCTTGCAATATCTAATCTTAGGTGACAAATTTTGCCAGGATATAAACTTTCTCTACCTGTGCACTTCCTTCAACTTCTTTCAGTGATGTCCAGGAATGTATGGGAGAGCAGAGAAATGGCAGTGACTTTGCCTGATACAAAATTCCTACGCATTTGTCGAATGGGCTCCTATCTTTCTGAGTAGCACACACCCTGCTCCTCTGAATTGAGGCAAAATTTGTCTTACCTTCTTTAGGGCCTTCTGCCGGGTTCTGAATCAGAGGGTGGAACCTATGTTCTGTAATCCAAGAACATGCATGCCATTCCATTCTCATTCAGTGGAAACTCTTCCTGCATTTTGGCCTATGGCTTTTTCATGTTTTTTATTTACAGCACTGTCATCACTTTGACTTTTTGTTTAAATTCATGGATATTTTAATTTAGTGGGAAATTTGGAAAAGCCATATTAGACACAGTGTCTGCCAAAATTATAACTTGTAAACATTGGTCTCTTATTTTGTTTTTAATAAAAAGCTGTGATATTTGGAAGAGGACACCATCCTTTTGGACACATTCTGTACAGAATCTAGGTTTATGTTTACCAATTTTTTCCCATCTCCTTTTATTAGGACAAAGATATGAAGGAAATGGTATTTGCTGAATATTGAGTAGCTCATATATGACAGCTATGGCATGAAGCATTTTTACATATAGTTTTGTACTTGATCCTGACAAAAACCCTGCGTGTAGGTATTTTCCCATTTGAATGAGGAAACTAAGTCTTACAAAATGTAAGAACCTTTTCATAGAAGTGTGTGGTGAAAATGGAATTCAATCTAAATTCTTTTGTCTCCAAGCATTGAAGTCAGAAAAGTCAATTTCCCAGTTCCATGAACAACATTGTGTTATTTCTTCTGCTCCCACATGGATTGGTCTTGTCCTCTGTGTAGCAGGGCTTATGGGCACTGTGGGCATTTGAATTGTGATTTTACAAATGGAGTGGGCTCCGTGAAGGTGCTGTACTACATCTCTGGCTGAGGATAGCATCACACAGATGAGCTCCATCCTGGATAGTCTCCAGTAGTACCACCTCCATTTGGACACAGTAAGGCTGTTGGCTAAGTTATCATTCTTGATGTAGATATATTTTGACAAATTCACATCTCAGAGCACAGCCTGGTATGGTCAGGTGGAGGCCTCCTTCTTAGCCTCCCATGTCTGGAAGGGCTTTACTACCTGCCTTTGTAGCATGGGGGTTCCTGCCCTCATCTGGCCTCCCACTCTCTTTAACATGATCGTTTCACCTTCTCAGGCTCCAATCAGGAGTCCTTCTGGATGCTGTTGTTCTCTTCTTCAGGAAGTTCTCTCTTAAGGTTCAATTCTAGTTTTCATCTCTTAGGTTTCTTTGGGTCTCAGTCACTTTCCTGACCTGGTAACCACTAAAACCTCTCCCTCCTTTTCCAGACACATTTTTCCAAAATATTTAAATTGAGCCACATTTTAGCTATATGTTTTCCGTCGTTTTTAGAGAAAAAAAAATTTCTTTTTTCTTTTGTTTATTTTGAGACAGAGTCTCTCTGTTGCCCAGGCTGAAGTGCAGTGGCATGGTCTCAGCTCACTGCAACCTCAACCTCCTGGGCTCAAGTGATCCTCCCACCTAAGCACAGCTTCCTAGCTAGCTGGGACTACAAGTGCATGCCTCCAAGCCTAGCTAATTTTTTTTAATGTTTTTGCAGAGACAGAGTTTCGTCATGTTGTCAACGCTGGTCTTGAACTCCTGAGCTCAAGCGATCCTCCTGCCTCAGCCTCCCAAAGTGCTGGGATTACAGGCATGAGCCATCATGCCCCATCCAAACTATTTCTTAAAGTGGAAAAGTCTGCCATCTAAAACTTTCTGCAGTATTTCTGATTCCCAAGGTATTTGCACTACTTCTGTGTCAACATAAACTTCAAGTGAAGGTATCACATACATGTACTGACTTTCTTTAATGGTTTTTGGGCCTTTGTTTTAATGAGGATTTCAATCAGCTTTCCGTCTACCTTTTTAGTGCAGGTTAGATCTCTGGTGTGTATAGTAGTGGCCATCATTTCTTGTTATTTGTTTCATATAAAGTCCTCTAGTTTTCTGTGGGTAAAAAACTGCAATACAAATCTCTAAGATTCACAGTGTAATTAGCACATGTGGATCAAAGTGGCACAAGTCACCCAATTTCTGGATCATTCCTGCCTCAGCTTAGGATGAAAGTCAATACTACAAATTCCAAGGTGAAAATCTTCTAATGGCTTATAGATCTGGCTGAAATACAGCAAAGGGCATTAGGCCATTCAACTCATTAATGTGTGGATTGGTAAACTTTTCTGTAAAGTGCCAGATGTTAAGTATTTTACGCTTGTGGACCATACGGTCTCTATTGCAACCACTCCACTCTGCCACTGTAGCGTGAAAATAGTCTTAGACAACATACATAGTGAATCTTAGCTGTGTTAAAGTGAATTAAAATGGAGTCTAGGCCTGAAGAATCGCTGTGGGGACAAACCCAGTGAAGCCTCATAAGTGACCTTAGCTTTGCTTGATTTGCAAACAGAAGTGAAATGTAATTTGAGCTGTTTTTCTTGTAGTGCCTATATTAAGGAAAAACAGAACTTAAGCTCAATCAATCAGAAGCAGCCAACAAACTTATAATTCTACAACTAGGGACTTTCTAGTGGGACAGACCAGGTAAGGCAACTTTATAACTGTAATGAAATATTTCCTTTGTGTGATTTCAACATTCATTCTATGAAAACCTGTCACTCAGTCTTCTTCAATGGAGCCCCTAGACCATTTCTGGTTTGAAGCTGCCCAATTCATAAATCACCATTTGCTCAAATAAACTCTTTAAATTTTTATTGTGCCTCAGTTTATGTTTTAACAGCTGTGTTTCAGTAAAACTTTAATTTTTCACTAAAACACGCAGCAGGCCATAATAGGCCATGGGTCGTGGTTTGCTGACCCCTGCACTCATGCCTGGACAGCTGGGGCACAGAAGCTGTCCTAAAGTGCAACTTCAAAAGAATTAAAGGAAGCAGGCAAGGTCAAAGATGTACATGACCTCTATTAAAGCCCAAAGCTCAAAACATGCTTCATGTAACCAAATATTTTATTTGTATGATTTTAACATTCATTACAATCTACCATGATTGGAAGCTTCCTGGGGCTTCATCAAATACCTCTAAGCATAGTTTTGTTTTGTTTCCATCTGCAAATTTCATTCCCTGTCTCTTTCTCTCAAAATTAATGGCACTAGATATTGGGATCATGAGGCAAGGAGGACCAATAATAACAGCACTTTTTCCTATCCAAGGTCTGAACCATTTGAGACATAATAAAAAAGTTGGCCTGTAGAAACCAATATTTTGCTTTTTTTACTATGGAAAGCTAGATCGAAGGCCATGGCTTATAACTGCTGACAAGTAAGCTTCTCCCTATTAAGCATCAAATTTAGGCTTTCTCATCAACCGAAAACTTATGCTCCCTACAGGCAGTTTGCATTCAAGTAAGAGAAAAAAGACCAGGGTTCTGCTTACTTTTCCTATTCCTATTTACCATCCAGGTAAGTGATTCCATCTAGCCTGGGCAGGAGTGATGGATGGAGCCCAGAGAGTCCAATTAGGGTGTCTTCCAGAGAAGAAGGAGGAAGTATTCTCTTCAAACAATGTCAGCTGAAACCTTCAACAATGAGGTTGAAAGGATCATTTTGTGTCTAGTTGAATGAAGCAACTGAAGATACCATAACAGATGGAGGAAGCCAGTGGGAATTTTAGGCTGAATGACATCCACAGACCTATTTAAAATCTCTGTATTTTAAAGAGTTATTCTGCTCCATTGCTCCCCAGAGGATGCGGGAAAGTCAAGAACATTCTGAAAGCTATGATTTGATGAGGTTCCAGGTTTCTTATCTTTAAAGTTATTTATTTTGCAGTAGCCCAACCCTTGAGAGAAACTCATGGTCCTGCAGTATGATTGACAACTCTTTTTTTTTCTCCCTCTACCAGCACCTACTACACTGATGATTAAATAAAAATCTTCAAAAAATATTGTTTAAATAAGTGAATGAATGCAACCCTTCTAAGGTCTTGATTTCCTACCTTCACCATCTTGTTTCAATAGTTAACAATACGTTCCTTCTAAATGATATCTGTCAGACTACTCTTAAAGGATCCCACTCTTCAGTTCATAGACATTTAGATTCATCTTACTATCTTACTTTTCTTGATTAGTTGCTCTTGAGGAAAAAAGAAGGCAAAGTAACATAAGTATCCAATGCATAGCATATAGCCAGAGGTGATGATGTAACTGAAAACTGACAATAATTCTTGTAATAAAGAGGCATCTGCTAATCTGTTGCTAATTTTTATTTGAAAATTGTTGTTGTTGCTTAGGCCTTAACAAGGTCAGGAAAATACAGAAGCTCCTTTAAAAAGGGAAAATGAAACAAAAAAGTAAGTTTCATATTTTCCTTGGTCTCTTGCTTAAGAAGGTTACTGTAGGAAATGTAAATAGACCACAGGAAGCTTTAGAAACTCAGCTCTTTGATTGAAAAAATGGAAATTCTGTTTTTTACAGAAATAAAGTAATTCAATGAAAATACAAAATACAGTTGGTTATCATTTAAAAAGGGTTTGTTTTTTGGATTATGGTTTCTTTGATATAGTACAACTCTGGCACAGACCATTCCAAGTGTATTTCTGAAAGCAAAATAAATGAAAACTGTTTTCTCTCTTCATTAATGTTTTGCTGTGTTCTATTTGTGGAATTCCAAGAGGAGCATGCAGTTTTCCTGGATCGCTTTCAGAGAGGGAAGGATGAATGGGATGAGGGAGTTGACCCCCAAAGAAAAGAATGAGTCAACATGAAGAAATAATGCTTCTCCCAGGCTTGCATTTGGATCCTCTAATTGTAAAAAATAACACCTTTTCCAGACTTCTCATACCAGCCTCCTTAAATGAAAAGAATCCAAAAGACTGTGGGTAGTGGAGGAGAGAATTTGTTTGTTTACCAACCATAAAGTCCTCATGAACCTAACAGGCTAATAAAATGTTCTTTTTGGATTATTCTCTTTGTCGTCCCCTGACCATCACCACCACCTCCAACATCACCACCACCACAACACACACACACACACACACACACACACTTCCCTTCCCTTCTTTTCTTCTCCATTCACCTTGAACTTTGTATCATCTCTTGGTGATGCTCAACTTAACTCCTTTTCTTTCTTGAAATAAGCTTGAAATAAAAATTAAGACACCTTGAAGTTCTTTTTAAAAGGTCCTCATATTTTATAATTGATTTTTTATATTTTTTTATTATTATTTTACTTTAAGTTTTAGGGTACATGTGCACAATGTGCAGGTTAGTTACATATGTATACATGTGCCATGCTGGTGTGCTGCACCCATTAACTTTTCATTTAGCATTAGATATATCTCCTAAAGCTATCCCTCCCACCTCCCCCTACTCCACAACAGTCCCTGGAGTGTGATGTTCCCCTTCCTGTGACCATGTGTTCTCATTGTTCAATTCCCTCTTATGAGTGAGAATATGCAGTGTTTGGTTTTTTGTTCTTGCGATAGTTTACTGAGAATGATGATTTCCAATTTCATCCATGTCCCTACAAAGGACATGAACTCATCATTTTTATGGCTGCATAGTATTCCATGGTGTATATGTGCCACATTTTCTTAATCCAGTCTATCATTGTTGGACATTTGGCTTGGTTCCAAGTCTTTGCTATTGTGAATAGTGCCGCAATAAACATACGTGTGCATGTGTCTTTATAGCAGCATGATTTAGAGTCCTTTGGGTATATACCCAGTAATGGGATGGCTGGGTCAAATGGTATTTCTAGTTCTAGATTCCCAAGGAATCGCCACACTGACTTCCACAATGGTTGAACTAGTTTACAGTCCCACCAACAGTGTAAAAGTGTTCCTATTTCTCCACATCCTCTCCAGCACCTGTTGTTTCCTGACTTTTTAATGATCACCATTCTAACTGGATGAGATGGTATCTGATTGTGGTTTTGATTTGCATTTCTGTGATGGCCAGTGATGGTGAGCATTTTTTCATGTGTTTTTTGGCTGCATAAATGTCTTCTTCTGAGAAGTGTCTGTTTATGTCCTTTGCCCACTTTTTGATGGGGTTGTTTTTTTTTTCTTGTAAATTTGTTTGAGTTCATTGTAGATTCTGGATATTAGCCCTTTGTCAGATGAGTAGGTTGCGAAAATAATCAATATTTTTTTTTATCAGTGACCATATGCCAGAGCATGAGGACATCATGGAGAATAAGCCAGGCATCCTTTCTGTTCTCATGAGGCTTACTGACTGTCTGAAGCATCTGAAGCAGGTGATAGGGATAGGGTTTGGACGTTTTGTCCCCTCTGAATCTCATCTTGAAATGTGACCTCCAATGTTGGAGGTGAGGCCTGGTGGAAGGTGTTTGGGTCATGGGGGTGGATCCCTCATGAATGGCTTCATGCCCTTTTAGCAGTAATGAGTGAGTTATCACTGCTTTGAGTTCTTGAGAAATCTGGTTGTTTAAAAGAGTCGGGAGCACCTCTCTCCATCAGCTCTTGCTTTGGCTCTTGCCATGTGATGAACCTGCTCCACTTTCACCTTTTGCCATGAGTGGAAGCTTCCTGAGGCCCTCACCAGGAGCAGATGCTGGCACCATGCTTCCTGTACAGCCTGCAGAACTGTGAGCCAAAATAATCCCCTTTTCTTTATATATTACCCAGTCTCAGGTATTCCTTTATAGCAATGCAAACAGACTAGTATAGCAGGGATCAGCAAACTGTAGTTCATGGGACAAATTTGGCCCATTGCCTGACTTTGGAAATATAGTGTTATTCTACACAGGCACACTCATTCATTTACATGTTGTTTATGCTGCTTTTGTGACATCACAGCAAAGATGAGTAGTTGTGACCAAGACTGTTGGGTCTGCAAAGCTTGAAATAATTACCACCTGGTCTTTTACAAAAAGTTTTCCAATTGCTGCTTGGGAAAGGACACCAGTTCCTATAATACGCAGAGCTAAAGACAGAGATAGCCAGTAAAGAAATTCGGTAGAAGGGCATGTCAAAGCTTACTAGTTGGCCCCAATATCCATTCTGCCCTTCTTAGAAAAATAGAACTGATTTTCAGTTGGACTTTTTCACTTGGAATATAGATTGTGTTTCACAGTCTCTTGCAGATAGAGGTAGCTTTTAATTAAATTCTGGCTAATGGGATTGTATTAGTCTATCTTCTTATTGCTATGAAGAAATACCTGAGACTGGGTAATATATAAAGAAAAAGAGGTTTAATGGACTGACTCACAGTTCCACATGGCTGGGGAGACCTTACAATCATGGCAGAAAGTGAAGGAGGAAGATCTTACATGGTGTCAGGCAAGACAGCATGTGCAGGAGAACTGCCCTTTAAAAACCATCAGATCTCATGAGACATATTCACTATCATGAGAAAAGCAGGGGAAAAATCTGCTCCCATGGTTCAATTACCTCCCAATGAGTCCTGGGTCCCTCCCATGACATGTGGGGATTATGGAAGCTACAATTCAAGGTGAGATTTGGATGGGCACACAGCCAAACTATATCATTCCACCCCTGGCCTCTCCCAAATCTCATGTCCTCACATTTCAAAACCAATCATGCCTTTCCAATAGTCCCCCAAATTCTTAATTCATTCCAGCATCAACCCAAAAGTCCAACCCCAAAGTCTCATCTGAGATAAGGCAAGTCCCTTCTGCCTCTGAGCCTGTAAAATCAAAAGCAAATTAGTTACTTCCTAAATACAATGGGAGTACAGGAACTCAGTAAATACAGCCATTCCAAAATGGAGAAATTGGCCAAAACAAACGAGCCATACGCTCCATGGAAGTCCAAAATCCAACAGGGCAGTCATTAAACCTTAAAATTCCAAAATGATCTCCTTTGACTCCCTGTCTCACATCCAGGTCACGCTGATGCAAGAGGTGTGCTCCCATGTCCTTGGGCAGCTCCACCCCTATGGCTTTGCAGGGTATAGACCCCCCCTCCCAGATGCTTTCACAGGCAGGCACTGAGTGTCTGCAGCTTTTCCAGGTTCATGGTGCAAGCTGTCAGTGGATCTACCATTCTGGGGTCTGGAGGACAGTGGCTTTCTTCTCACAGCTCCACTAGGCAGTGATGCAGTGGAGACTCTGTATTGGGGCTCCAACCCCACATTTCCCTTCTGCACTGCCCTAGCAAAGGTTCTCTGTGAGGTCCCTGCCTGTGCAGCAAACTTCTGCCTGAACATCCAGGCATTTCCATACATCCTCTGAAATCTAGGAAGAGGTTCTCAAACCTCAGTTCTTGACTTCTGTGCACCTGCAGGCTCAACATCACATGGAAGCTGCCAAAGCTTGTGGCTTGATCCCTCTGAAGCCACGGCTTGAGCTGCACCTTGGCCCATTTTAGCCATGGTTGGAGCAGCTGGGATGCAGGGCAGCAAGTCCTTGGGCTGCACACAGCAGGGAGGCCCTGGACCTGGCCCAGGAAACCATTTTTCCCTCCTAGGCCTTCAGGCCTGTGATGAGAAGGGCTGCCACAAAGGTCTCTGATATTCCCTGGAAACATTGTCTTCATTGTCTTAGTGATTAACATTTGGCTCCTTGTTAATTATGCAAAATTCTGCAGCAGGTTTGAATTTCTCCCTAGAAAATGGATTTTTCTTTTCTGTTGCATTGTCAAGCTGCAAATTTTTCAAACTTTTTTCTCTGCTTTTCTTGAGTGCCTTGCCGCTTAGAAATTTCTTCCTCCAGAAACCCTAAATGGTCTCTCTCAAGTTCACATTCCTGGGCTCTCTAGGGCAGGAGCAAAATGCCACCAGTCTCTTTGCTAAACCATAACAAGAGTAACCTTTGCTCCAGTTCCCAACAAGTTCCTCATCTCCATCTGAGACCACCTCAGCCTGGACTATCACTATCAGCATTTTGGTCAAAGCCATTCAACAAGTCTCTAGGAAGTTCCAAACATTCCCACATCTTCATGTCTTCTGAGCCCTCCAAGTATCTAGGAGTTTCAAACTTTCCCACATTTTCCTGTCTTCTAGCCCTCTAAACTGTTTCAACCTCTGCTTGTTACCCACTTCCAAAGTCACTTCCACATTTTTGGGTATCTTAATAAAAACAGCCCACTCTACCAGTACCAATTTACTGTATTAATCCATTTTCATACTGCTATGAAGAAACACCTGAGACTGGGTAATGTATAAAGAAAAAGAGGTTTAATGGACTCACAGTTCCACATGGCTGGGGAGGCGCCATGATCATGGCAGAAAGTGAAGGAGGAGCAAAGTGATGTCTTATGTGGTGGCAAGCAAGAGAGCATGTGCAGAGGAACTGCCCTTTATGAAACCATCAGATCTCATGATAATTATTCACTATCATGAGAACAGCACAGGAAAAACCCACCCCCAAGATTCAGTTACCTCCCACTGGGTCCCTTCCATGACATGTGGGGAGTATGGGAGCTACAATTCAAGATGAGATTTGAGTGGTGACACAGCCAAACCATATCAGGGATGTGAGCAGAAGTATTATGTGCATCTTCCTAGAAGTTTCCCTAAAGTAGAATATGCATCTTTCTTTAGGACCCCTTTCTTCTTCCTGGTAGTTGCAGTGCAGTTATGATGGCTGCAGCTTGAACAGTCATCTGGGACCATGGCACACAGAAATAATGAAGCAGTAGGAGATAAGGGGCATAGGACTGAGGTGAAATATCAGGTTTGTTTTAAATTGCATTTCTCTATTGATTAGTGATGTTCAACATTACGAATCATCAACTATTAACCCCTTATCGGGTGTTTACTTTGCAAATACTTTTTCCCATTCTATAGGTTGTCTCTTCACAACCTACAAAAGAACCTGATTGATTCCTTTGCTGTGCAGAAGCTTTTTATTTTGATGCTATCTCATTTGTCTATTTTAACTTTTTTTGCCTTTGCCTCTGAAGTTGTATCCAAAAAATCATAGCTTAGACCAGTTTCACTGAGCTTTTTCCCTATATTTTCTTCTAGTAGTTTTACAGTTGCAGGCCTTACATTTAAGTCTAATCAATTTAGCTTGATTTTTGTATATGGTGTGAGATAAACGTCTAATTTTATTCTTCCACATATGGATATCTAATTTTCCCAGTACCATTTATTAAAAAGACTGCTCTTTTCCCTATTGTGTGTTTGTGGCAACATTGTCAAAAATTAGTTCACATGGATTTATTTCTAGGCTCTCTATTTTGATCCATTTGTCTATGTTTCTGTTTTTATGCCAGCATCATGCTGTTTTGGTTGCTGTAGTTCTGTAGTATATTTCAAAGTCACGCAGTATGATGCCTCTAGCTTTTTTCTTTTTTCCGTATGATAACCTTTGCTATTTGAGGTCTTTTGCTGCAAATTTTAGTATTATTTTTTCTATTTCTGTGAAGAATGTCATTGATGTTTTTGGTAGGTATTGCACTAAGTTTGTAGATTGCTTTGGCTGGTATAAACAATAATATTAGTTCTTTCAATCCATAAAAATATCTTTTCATTATTTTTATCTTTTCAGTTTATATCATGGATTTATGATGGTTTTATGGTTTTCACCTCCTTGGTTACATTTATTCCTAAGTATTTTTTGTAACTCTTATAAATAGGATTTCTTTTTGATTTTTTTAAGATAAGTTGCTCTTAGTGTATTGAAATGCTACTTCTTTTTGTATTTTGATTTTGTATTCTACCTTTACTGAGTTCATTTATTAGTTCTAACAGTTTTTTGGTGGAGTCTTTACAGTTTTTCATGTATAAATCATGTTATCTACAAACAGAAACAATTTGAATTCTTCCTTCTCAATTTGGATACTTTTCATTTCCTTCTCTTGATTAATTGCCCTGGCTAGGACTTTTAGTCAATGTTGCACAGAAGTGGCAAGAGTGGTATCTTTGACTTCTTCCAGATCTTAAAGAAAAAACTTTAAACTTTTCCTAATTGTGTATGGTGTAAGCTGTGAGTTTCTTGCATATGGTCTTTATTGTGTTGAAGTACATTCCTTCTATACCTAATTTGTTGAGAGTTTTTGTTATGAAAGGATGTTGAATTTTGTCAGATGCTTTTTCTGCATCTATTGAAATTATCATGTGGTGTTTGCCTTTCATTCTATTAACATGATGTATCATACTGGTATGGTTTGGCTCTGTGTCCCCACTCAAATCTTGTCTTAAATTGTAATCTTCGTAACCCCCATGTGTCAAGAGAGGGACTTGGTGGGAAGTGATTGTATCATGGGGGCAGTTTCCTGCATGCTGTTCTCATGATGGTGAGTGAGTTCTTACAAGATCTGGTGGTTTTATAAGTGTTTAATAGTTCCTCCTTCACATACTCTCACTCTCTCCTGCCTCCTTGTGAAGAAGGTGCCTGCATCCCCTTTAACCTTCCACCATGATTGTAAGTTTCCTGAGGCCCCCCCTCAGCAATGCAGAACTGTAAGTCAATTAAATTTCTTTCCTTTATAAATTGCCCAGTCTCAGATATTTCTTTATGGCAGTGTGAAAACAGACAAATACACATACCTATTGATTTACATATATTGAACCATGCTTGCATCCCTGGGATGAATCCCACTTGATCATGGCGAATGATCTTTTTAATGTGTTGTTCAATTTCATTTTTTAGTATTTTGTTGAGGATTTTTGCTTTTATGATCATCAGAGATATTGGCCTGTAGTTTTCTTTTTTTGTAGTATTCTTGTCTGACTTTGGTACTAGGGTAATGCTGGCCTCATGCAATGAATTTAGAAGTATTCTCTCTTCTTTAATTTTTTGAAAGAGTTTCAAAACTCTAGATGCATTTCTATTAATACCAATTTTTATTCCTCCTCCAGTGTAAGTTGCACTGAACTGTGAGCATACAGTTCAATAAATTTTTACAAATGGAACACAACAGCATCATCAGTAGACAGATAGAAACAGAATATTACTAGTACTCCAGAATGCGTCCATTTTTTCCAATAGCCATCTTCCACCCAAAAATAATAACAATTCTGACTTGTAATAACATTGATTATGATTATTTTTTGTTTTTTTATACAAATGGAATCAGATAGACAACATGTACTCTTTTATGTCCAGCTTCTTTTGCTCAGCATTATGCATGTTGATTTTATCCACATTGGTGTGAATAGATGTGGTAGTTCATTCTCACTGCTATATAGAATTCTACTGAGTGAATATATCACAATTTATTAATACATTCTATTTTTTATGAAAATTTGAGTAGTTTCTAATTCTTTGACTACCACAGTTCTATGACAAATATTTTAGTATACGCCTTGTGGTGAACACATATACACATTTCTGTTTGGTACATGCCTAGGAGTAGAATTGCTGGTCATAGGGTGTGCACGCATTCAACTATAAAAGATACTGCAGTTTCCACAACGTTTGAACTGGCAATGTATGAAAGTCCTGATTGCTCTAAATTCTTGCTAACACTTGGGATGTTTTGTTCTTTATTTTAGCAATTTTAGTGTGTATGTAGTAGTAGTGCATCAACTCTTTATTTGCAATGTTTTGCTCTCAAGTATGTATTGATCTCATGATTTGATCATGATATGATCTCATGTATTGATCTCAAGTATGGAGTCAGGTGGGGATGGGATGATTTGGCAACTCTGCTGTTCTTAGCTGGGCTTGCATACATGACTGAGGGTGTCCACTGACGGCTGGCAGATTGAGGCTAGCTGCAGCTGAAGTGATTGGCATGACTCATCTCTGCTCTGCAAATCTCTCATTCACCAGCAGAGTTGCCCCAGCATTCTCATGGAAATGGCACAGGTGCTAAAGCAAAGAAACCCAATTGTGCAAGTGCTTTACAAGCCTTTGTTTGCATGGCATTTGCTAATATCCCATTGGTTAAAATGAGTCACTCAGCCTTGCTCAGATTGAGAGTTAGTCAGTTCTACCAAGTTGCATGGAAAAGGGTGTAGAGACAGAGTTGGAAGAAGTGATTCATTTTTGCAATCTAACATACTATGAAATTAAGTACCTTTCAGATGATTATTAGCCATTTAGATATCCTTTTTGTGAAGCTGTTGCTCAACTCTTTCCTTATTTCTTCATGGGATTTCAATCTTTTTCTTTTGGCTTGATTGACCTTTATATTTCTAGATATAAGTCTTTTATTGGATATGTGTATTGTCAATAACTTCTTCCCTTCTGTGGGCTGCCTATTTACCCATCAATGATGTATTTTGACAAACAGAACTTTTAAATTTTAACACAATTTATCAATTTTTCTTTATGTTTAATGCTTTTTGTGTTTATTAAAAAGCCTTGCCTACTCTAAAGTCATAAAGTTGTTTACTTATACTTTTAAAAATCTTTATTATTTTATCTTTCATATACAGATAATTTTTCATATATATATATCATAACAGCTTGATAAATATTATAGCTTAGTTTGGGCTGTCTTTTGGGTGTCAATATCAATTCCTGTGTCTATGCCTGGAGAGATACACTAAAGATTAAGTTGAATCCAAGGGAGGAGACAAGATGGCCGAATAGGAACAGTTCCGGTCTACAGCTCCCAGCTTGAGCGACGCAGAAGATGGGTGATTTCTGCATTTCCATCTGAGGTACCGGGTTCATCTCACTAGGGAGTGCCAGACAGTGGGCACAGGTCAGTAGGTGCGCGCACCGTGTGCGAGCGAAGCAGGGCGAGGCATTGCCTCACTTGCGAAGCGCAAGGGGTCAGGGAGTTCCCTTTCTGAGTCAAAGAAAGGGGTGACCGACGCACCTGGAAAATCGGGTCACTCCCACCCGAATACTGTGCTTTTCCGACGGGCTTAAAAAACGGCGCACCACGAGATTATATCCCGCACCTGGCTCGGAGAGTCCTATGCCCACGGAGTCTCGCTGATTGCTAGCACAGCAGTCTGAGATCAAACTGCAAGGCGGCAGCGAGGCTGGGGGAGGGGCGCCCGTCATTGCCCAGGCTTGCTTAGGTAAACAAAGCAGCCCGGAAGCTCGAACTGGGTGGAGCCCAACACAGCTCAAGGAGGCGTGCCTGCCTCTGTAGGCTCCACCTCTGGGGGCAGGGCACAGACAAACAAAAAGACAGCAGTAACCTCTACAGACTTAAATGTCCCTGTCTGACAGCTTTGAAGAGAGCAGTGGTTCTCCCAGCATGCAGCTGGAGATCTGAGAACAGGCAGACTGCCTCCTCCAGTGGGTCCCTGACCCCTGATCCCCGAGCAGCCTAACTAGGAGGCACCCCCCAGCAGGGGCACACTGACACCTCACACAGCAGGGTATTCCAACAGACCTGCAGCTGAGGGTCCTGTCTGTTAGAAGGAAAACTAACAAACAGAAAGGACATCCACACCAAAAACCCATCTGTACATCACCATCATCAAAGACCAAAAGTAAGCTGAGAGAAGAAGGCTTCAGATGATCAAATTACTCTGAGCTATGGGAGGACATTCAAACCAAAGGCAAAGAAGTTGAAAACTTTGAAAAAAATTTAGAAGGATGTATAACTAGAATAACCAATACAGAGAAGTGCTTAAAGGAGCTGATGGAGCTGAAAACCAAGGCTCGAGAACTCTGTGAAGAATGCAGAAGCCTCAGGAGCCGATGCGATCAACTGGAAGAAAGGGTATCAGCAATGGAAGATGAAATGAATGAAATGAAGTGAGAAGGGAAGTTTAGAGAAAAAAGAATAAAAAGAAATGAGCAAAGCCTCCAAGAAATATAGGACTATGTGAAAAGACCAAATCTACGTCTGATTGGTGTACCTGAAAGTGACGGGGAGAATGGAACCAAGTTGGAAAACACTCTGCAGGATATTATCCAGGAGAACTTCCCCAATCTAGCAAGGCAGGCCAATGTTCAGATTCAGGAAATACAGAGAACACCACAAAGATACTCCTCGAGAAGAGGAACTCCAGGACACATAATTGTCAGATTCACCAAAGTTGAAGTAAAGGAAAAAATGTTAAGGGCATCCAGAGAGAAAGGTCGGGTTACGCTCAAAGGGAAGCCCATCAGACTAACAGCTGATCTCTTGGCAGAAACCCTACAAGCCAGAAGAGAGTGGGGGCCAATATTCAACATTCTTAAAGAAAAGAATTTTCAACCCAGAATTTCATATCCAGCCAAACTAAGCTTCATAAGTGAAGGAGAAATAAAATACTTTACAGACAAGCAAATGCTGAGAGATTTTGTCACCACCAGGCCTGCCCTAAAAGAGCTCCTGAAGGAAGCACTAAACATGGAAAGGAACAACCGGAACCAGCCACTGCAAAATCATGCCAAAATGTAAAGACCATCGAGGCCAGGAAGTAACTGCATCAACTAACGAGCAAAATAACCAGCTAACATCATAATGACAGGATCAAATTCACACATAACAATATTACCTTTAAATGTAAATGGACTAAATGCTCCAATTAAAAGACACAGACTCGCAAATTGGATAAAGAGTCAAGACCCATCAGGGTGCTGTATTCAGGAAACCCATCTCACGTGCAGAGACACACATAGGCTCAAAATAGAAGGATGGAGGAAAATCTACCAAGCAAATGGAAAACAAAAAAAGGCAGGGGTTGCAATCCTAGTCTCTGATAAAACAGACTTTAAACCAACAAAGATCAGAAGAGACAAAAAAAGGCTATTACATAATGGTAAAGGGATCAATTCAACAAGAAGAACTAACTATCCTAAATATATATGCACCCAATACAGGAGCACCCAGATTCATAAAGCAAGTCCTGAGTGACCTACAAAGAGACTTAGACTCCCACACATTAATAATGGGAGACTTTAACACCCCACTGTCAACATTAGACAGATCAACGAAACAGAAAGTCAACAAGGATACCCAGGAATTGAACTCAGCTCTGCACCAAGCGGACCTCATAGACATCTACAGAACTCTCCACCCCAAATCAACAGAATATACATTTTTTTCAGCACCACACCACACCTATTCCAAAATTGACCACATACTTGGAAGTAAAGCTCTCCTCAGCAAATGTAAAAGAACAGAGATTATAACAAACTATCTCTCAGACCACAGTGCAATCAAACTAGAACTCAGGATTAAGAATCTCACTCAAAACCACTCAACTACATGGAAACTGAACAACCTGCTCCTGAATGACTACTGGGTACATAACGAAATGAAGGCAGAAATAAAGATGTTCTTTGAAACCAACGAGAACAAAGACACAACATACCAGAATCTCTGGGACGCATTCAAAGCAGTGTGTAGAGGGAAATTTATAGCACTAAATGCCCACAAGAGAAAGCAGGAAAGATCCAAAATTGACACCCTAATATCACAATCAAAAGAACTAGAAAAGCAAGAGCAAACACATTCAAAAGCTAGCAGAAGGCAAGAAAGAACTAAAATCAGAGCAGAACTGAAGGAAATAGAGACACAAAAAACCCTTCAAAAAATTAATGAATCCAGGAGCTGGTTTTTGGAAAGGATCAACAAAATTGATAGACCGCTAGCAAGACTAATAAAGAAAAAAAGAGAGAAGAATCAAATAGACACAATAAAAAATGATAAAGGGGATATCACCACCGATCCCACAGAAATACAAACTACCATCAGAGAATACTACAAACACCTCTACGCAAATAAACTAGAAAATCTAGAAGAAATGGATACATTCCTCGACACATACACTCTCCCAAGACTAAACCAGGAAGAAGTTGAATCTCTGAATAGACCAATAACAGGCTCTGAAATTGTGGCAATAATCAATAGTTTACCAACCAAAAAGAGTCCAGGACAAGATGGATTCACAGCCGAATTCTACCAGAGGTACAAGGAGGAACTGGTACCATTCCTTCTGAAACTATTCCAATCAATAGAAAAAGAGGGAATCCTCCCTAACTCATTTTATGAGGCCAGCATCATCCTGATACCAAAGCCAGGCAGAGACACAACCAAAAAAGAGAATTTTAGACCAATATCCTTGATGAACATTGATGCAAAAATCCTCAATAAAATACTGGCAAACCGAATCCAGCAGCACATCAAAAAGCTTATCCACCATGATCAAGTGGGCCTCATCCCTGGGATGCAAGGCTGGTTCAATATATGCAAATCAATAAATGTAATCCAGCATATAAACAGAGCCAAAGACAAAAACCACATGATTATCTCAATAGGTGCAGAAAAAGCCTGTGACAAAATTCAACAACTCTTCATGCTAAAAACTCTCAATAAATTAGGTATTGGTGGGACGTATTTCAAAATAATAAGAGCTATTTATGACAAACCCACAGCCAATATCATACTGAATGGGCAAAAACTGGAAGCATTCCCTTTGAAAACTGGCACAAGACAGGGATGCCCTCTCTCACCACTCCTATTCAACATAGTGTTGGAAGTTCTGGCCAGGGCAATCAGGCAGGAGAAGGAAATAAAGGGGATTCAATTAGGAAAAGAGGAAGTCAAATTGTCCCTGTTTGCAGACAACATGATTGTATATCTAGAAAACCCCATTGTCTCAGCCCAAAATCTCCTTAAGCTGATAAGCAACTTCAGCAAAGTCTCAGGATACAAAATCAATGTACAAAAATCACAAG